>NC_000022.11:31739867-31891382 GCF_000001405.40 Homo sapiens
GGTTTCTTGGCTCCTAACTTTCCCAGTTTAGTGTACCAAACATGCAGTTTCCACAACAACAAAATCCACTTTGACCATTCTGATTAGTCTGAATGTTTACAGGCCTTGAAATAAATCTTGCCTAAGTAGGGGAAAAAAAAAATCTGCTTTGACCTGACCAAAGCAGAAATGGGTCAGCCAGATAAGATACTTCATGCTTTCATTTTTTTTTTAGACAGGATCTTGCTCTGTCACCCAGGCTAGAGTACCATGGTGCAATCGTTCCTCACCGCAGCCTCCCTCTCCCAGACTCAAGTGATCCTCCTGCCTCAGCTTCCTGTAGCTGGGACAGGTGCACATCACCACACCTGGCTAATTTTTTTATTTTTTTGAGATGGAGTCTCACTCTGTCACCCAGGCTGGAGTGCAGTGGCATAATCTTGGCTCACTGCAACCTCCGCCTCCCAGGTTCAAGTGATTCTCCTGCCTCTGCCTCCAGAGTAGCTGGGACTACAGGCGTGTGCCACCACGCCCAGCTAATTTTTGTATTTTTAGTAGAGACAAAGTTTCACCACGTTGGCCAGGCTGGTCTTGAACTCCTGACCTCGTGATCTGTCCACCTCGGCCTTCCAAAGTGCTGGGATTACAGGCATGAGTCACTGTGCCAGGCCACACCTGGCTAATTTTTTTTTTTGGTGGAGACAAAGTTTTGATATGTTGTCCAGGCTCGTCTCCAACTCCTGAGCTCAAGCAATCCTCCTGCCTTGGCCCCGCAAAGTGCTGGGATTATAGGCACAAGTCACCATGCCTGACCCACACTTTCATTCTTGATGCTTTCCCTAACCCTAAACAAGGAGAGAAAAGATGAATTTTAACGAACCTTCCCAAAGGTAAAAGAGCGTAACGTTATAATACTAACTTAAATATCAGAAGTGATAAGAAATTAGATTGCTGTTCCATGATGTTTAGGTAACACAGAAAGGCGAATTAAAAAAATTAAATCCAAAAGATTAGGCTGGGCGCAGTGGCTCACACCTGTAATCCCAGCAGTTTGGGAGGCTGAGGCAGGTGGATCACTTGAGGTCAGGAGTTCGAGAACAGCCTAGTCAATATGGTGAAATCCAAGGCGGGGCATGGTGGCTCACGCCTGTAATCCCAGCACTTTGGGAGGCCGAGAGGGGCGGATCACGAGGTCAGGAGATCAAGACCATCCTGGCTAACACGGTGAAACCCTATCTCTACTAAAAATACAAAAAATTAGCCAGGCATGATGGCGCGCGCCTGTGGTCCCAGCTACTCAGGAGGCTGAGGCAGGAGAATGGTGTGAACCCGGGAGGCGGAGCTTGCAGTGAGCCGAGATTGCGCCACTGCACTCCAGCCTGAGTGACAGAGCGAGGCTCTGTCTCAAAAAAAAAAAAAAAAAAAAAAAAAATTGTGAAATCCAGTCTCCACTAAAAATACCAAAATTAGCCAGGCGTGGTGGCAGGCTCCTGTAATCCCAGCTACTCGGGAGGCTGAGGCACAAGAATCGCTTGAACCTGGGAGGCAGAGGTTGCAGTGAGCCGAGATCTTGCTACTGCACTCCAGCCTGGGCAACAAAGCAAGACTCCCATCTCAAAGAAAAAAAAGAACAAGCAATAAAACAAAACAAAACATTACCAAGAGATAAACTGTGTGTACAGGGGAAGAGCGAGAATCAAATGAGATTCTGGATGTGAAAAGCTTTCATAAACAGTGCTGTAAGGCTGGGTGCGGTGGCTCATGCCTATAATCCCAGCACTTTGGGAGGCCCAGGCAGGCAGATCACCTGAGGTCAGGAGTTAGAGACCAACCTGGCCGATATGGTGAAACCCTGTCTCTACTAAAAATATAAAAATTAGCTGGGCATGATGGCAGGCACCTGTAGTCCCAGCTACTTAGGAGGCTGAGGCAGAAGAATTGCTTGAACCTGGGAGGCGGAGGTTGCAGTGAGCCAAGATCACGCTACTGCACTCCAGCCTGGGTGACAGAGTGAGACTCCGTCTCAAAAACAGTGCTGAGAGAAATGTATCCCTTTTAGATCTAGAATCTTCCCCTTTCTCCTTTATTTCCAGATACAGAAACATCTTTCTAGGGGCACTTCAGATTTTAGGCCATTTATGTATGTGTAAGGTGGGGGATGGGGGAGGTTAGTAGAGATAACGTGGAGTTGCTATTTGATGCCAAAAATAAGTAGGAAGTGCTCAATTTTAATTTGGTTCAGTTTTCCTTTCCCAACAACATACACAGTCCAGTTTTCACCTGTCACAGCACATACAGATTTGAAGAGTAAATGCAGGAAAGGATATTGTAAAAGAGCAGATTTTTCGAAGGAGATGGGCTCCTTGGGTCTCTGCCACCTTATGCATCTGATCCTGCCTACCACAGAGATATGGGTGTTCTTAAAACTTAATCCTTGACTACTCTCTTTTTAGGCTTCACTTTCTTGATAACGTCATCTTTTTCTGCAGCCTCTGTAATGAGGATGACTCAAAACTCTTCCTTTTTTTTTTTTTTGAGATGGAGTCTTGCTCTGTCGCCCAGGCTGGATGAAGTGCAGTGGTGCCATCTCAGCTCACTGCAATCTCTGCCTCCCAGGTTCAAGGATTATCCTGCCTCAGTCTCCTGAGTAGCTGGGATTACAGGCACATGCCATCACGCGTGGCTAATTTTTGTATTTTTAGTAGAGACGGGGTTTCACCATGTTGGCCAGGCTGGTCTCGAACTCCTGACCTCAAGTAATCCGCCCGCCTCGGCCTCCCAAAGTGCTGGGATTAAGGGTGTGAGCCACTGCACCTGGCCTAAAACTCTTCCTTTAAGCACAGAGTTACCATAGGATTCAGCAATTCCCCTCATATGCATACATGCACAAAACATATGTCCACATAAAAATTTGTACACAAATGTCTTTAGCAGCACTACTCACAATAGTCAAAAAGTATAAGCAATCCAAATATCCATCAACTGATGAATGGATAAACAAAATGTGGTATAGCCCTACAATGGAATATTATTCAGCCATAAAAAGGAATGGAGAAATAACACGTTACAACATGAATGAACCTTGAAGACATTATGCTAAGTGAAAGAAGCCAGTCACAGAGATCACATATTACAAGATCCCCTGTATAGGAATGTCTAGACTAGGCAAATCTTACTATGAACCCAGCTACTAAGAGGGGAGGATCACGCCCATGGGAGGCCAAGGTGGGAGGATCATGAGGTCAGGAGTTCGAGACCATCCTGGGTAACACGGTGACACCCCGTCTCTACTAAAAATACAAAAAATCAGCTGGGCATGGTGGCACGCGCCTGTAGTCCCAGCTGCTCTGGAGGCTGAGGCAGGAGAATCACTTGAACCTGGGAGGCAGAGGGTGCAGTGAGCCGAGATTGCGCCACTGCACTCCAGACTGGGAGACAAAACCGAAAGTCTGTCCAAAAAAAAGGCTGGGATTCTTGGAGAAATTGGGAGTGACAGCTGAGGGACACAGAGTTTCTTTCTTGAGTAATAAAAATGTTCTAAAGTCAATTATGGTGATGGCTGTAGAACTCTGTGACTATACCAAAAACCACTGACTGGTACAATTTAAATCAGTCAATTGTATGGCATATGAATTAAATCTTAAAAAAATGATTTCTTTTAAAAAAGAACCTGGCCGGGAGCGGTGGCTCAAGCCTGTAATCTCAGCACTTTGGGAGGCCAAGGTGGGTGGATCACTTGAGGTCAGGAGTTCCAGACCAGAATGGCCAACATGGTGAAACCCTGTCTCTACTAAAAATCCAAAAAATTAGCTGGGCATGTTGGCGAACGCCTGTAATCCCAGCTACTTGGGAGGCTGAGGCAGGAGAATCGCTTGAACCTGGAAGGCGGAGGCTGCAGTGACCTGAGATGGGGCCACTGCACTCCAGACTGGGTGACACAGTGAGACCCTGCCTCGAAAAAAAAAAAAAAGAACCTGACCTTGACCCCAACCTTTCTTTCAATTCCTAACCTACATTTCACTTGCAAGAATGGCACCCCCAAAACTTACCAAGTTTAAAACAGAATTCATTCAATCTATTGAATAACTGAGTCTTTGAGTCTTTCTACACGCAAACAGCTTTGAGAAACAGGTATAAATAAGACGCCCTCAGCAAACTTACATGCTCATTCATTAAAAAAAAAAAAAAAAAGACAGGGTCTTGCTGTGTCGCCCAGGCTGGAGTGTGGTGGTGCGATCATAGCTCACTATAACCTTGAACTCCTTCTGCCTCAGCATGCCTGGTTAATTTTTTTTTTTTTTTTGGGATGGAGTTTCGCTCTTGTTGCCCAGGCTGGAGTGCAACAGTGCGATCTTAGCTCACCACAATCTCCACCTCCCAGGTTCAAGAGATTCTCCCGCCCCAGCCTCCTGAGTAGCTGGGATTACAGGCATTTGCCACCACACCCAGCTAATTTTGTATTTTTTAATAGAGATGGGGTTTCTCTATGTTGGTCAGGCTGATCTCAAACTCCCAACCTCAGGTGATCAGTCCGCCTTGGTCTCCCAAAGTGCTGGGATTACAGGCGTGAGCCACTATGCCCGGCCTACTTTTTTATTTTTGTAGATAATTTTGTATGTCTTGTTATGTTGCCCAGGCTGGTCTCAAACTCCTGGGTTCAAGCAATCCTCCCACCTCAGCCTCCCAAAAGTGCTGGAATTACAAGCGTGAGCCACTGTGACTAGCCACATGCTGATTCTTAATCCTGTTGCTTCTCAGAAAAGGCACCATCAATATTCTAGAGCTTAGATTTGAATCCCCAGCCATAACCATATCTGACTTCCCCTCACCATTCAATCAGCACTTGCAGCCTGTGGACTCAACTCCCTGCAGTGTTTCTAGTAAATCATATTCATTTCCATCCCCACAGTTCTAGCTCAACATTTGTTCCAAATGTTGCTCCACATACGGTCATACACAAATACAGGTTTACTAAACAGATCTTTATCATAAACAGTGAATACTGATAATCACATAAAATGGTTCACCTCTTGATACTCTTGTTTGGACCAAATTCTAAGAATTTCAACCTGTAAAACAACTAGGCACATTGGCTAGAGAACCAAAACAGACACCCCCTCCTTTTTCTCCTGGACTAATTCTGGGTCCTCAAATTTCTGAACAGAATTGCAGATACGTTACCAAGAACAGCTGGAACCCTAAGAGGTGAGGTGATATTAAATGCAAGCCTAGAGTGGCAGGTTAAACATGGCCGGGTGCTTTGGCTCACGCCTGTAATCCCAGCACTTTGGGAGGACAAGGCAGGCGGATCACGAGGTCAGGAGATCGAGACCATCCTGGCTAACACAGTGAAACCCTGTCTCTACTAAAAATACAAAAAATTAGCCGGGTGTGGTGAGGGGCGCCTGTAGTCCCAGCTACTCGGGAGGCTGAGGCAGGAGAATGGCATGAACCTGGGAGGCAGAGTTTGCAGTGAGCGGAGATTGTGCCACTGCACTCCAGCCTGGGCGACAGAGCGAGACTCCGTCTCAAAAAATAAAAAATAAAAAATAAAAATAAACTTATTTTCAGCTCAGTAGCTCACACCATCTATCAAAATATTGGTAATGCCACAAGACTGCAGTGACAGAACCCGATTTTGAGAAGACATTCAAGTTCTTTAAATTCCTGAATGCAATGGAGCAATCTAAAAGGATGATGTAGAAATACATCTCTACAGCCGGGCGTGGTGGCTCATGCCTGTAATACCAGCACTTTGGGAGGCTGAGGCGGGTAGATCACTTGAGGTCAGGAGTTCAAGACCAGCCTGGCCAACATGGTGAAACCCTATCTCTACTAAAAAATGCAAAAATTAGCTGGGCGTGGTGGCAGGAGCCTGTAATCTCAGCTACTTGGGAGGCTAAGGCACGAGAATCGCTTGAACCTGGGAGGCAGAGGTTGCAGCGAGCAGAGATCGCGCCATTGCACTTCAGCCTGGGTGAGAGGGAGACTCAGTTTAAAAAAAAAAAAAAAAAAATATATATATATATATAAGCCAAGTATCACAGTGTTACCTTGGACAATAGGATCACCAATGACTTATCTGTATGTTGAACTTTTTTTTTTGGAGATAGGGTCTCTGTGGCCCAGGCTGGAATGCAGTGGCTTGATCACAGCTCTCTATAACTTCAAACTCTGGACTCAAGCAATCCTCCTGCCTCAGCCTCCTAAGCAGCCAGGACTACAGGCGCGAGGCAGTGAACCCAGCAAATATTTTTATTTCTTGTAGAGACAAGGTCTCACTACATTGCACAGGCTGGTCTTGAGCTCCTGGCCTCAAGTGATCCTCCCACCTCGGCCTCCCAGAGTGAGCTGCTGCACCCAGCCTTGTACTTATTTTTCAAAACAGTGAGTATATATTACATATGTTAAAATGTTGTCTAACCATTATTTCTCAAGATCTAAACACACAGCAATAAAAACAGCTGATAAGTGTATTTTCAGTATTTTTTATCAGTATGTTTTATCAGTATTTTTCCAGCTGTCAGCTCTCTGCCTTAACCACCAATGCTTTTACATTAAAGTGTTAAATGTGAAGTAAAAGGGAAGAGTGAGTAACACATGCTTATAAAATGTAGACAGGGATTTACAGCTTAATCTTTGCTAATGACTTATAATCAACCTATTGGGTGAGGATACCAGATAATTACCTAGTTTGAGGTATAAGCAAAAAATAAACCATAGATTTATGAACGACTTTTGACAGCTGCTACTGGCTTGTCGTCTTTATCACAACACAAATAAGTACTATATTAGAATGTGTAGGGAATGGATTTATTCCCAAAAACTGACTAATACTTACAGGAAGTATGAAAATTATTATTCCAGTAAAAGTAGAAATTCTTTTACGTTGAGGACAATTATTTCATGTTCTTTCTTTGCAAACGCACAAATACTTCTCCCAGCAGTCTTTTTTTTTTTTTTTTTTTGAGACGGAGTCTCACTCTGTTGCTCAGGCTGGAGCGCAGTGGCGCGATCTTGGCTCACTGCAAGCTCTGCCTCCCGGGTTCATGCCATTCTCCTGCCTCAGCCTCCCAAGTAGCTGGGACTACAGGTGCCCGCCACCACGCCTGGCTAATTTTTTTATTTTTTTTATTTTTAGTAGAGACGGGGTTTCACTGAGTTAGCCAGGATGGTCTTGATCTCCTGACCTTGTGATCCGCCCGCCTCGGCCTCCCAAAGTGCTGGGATTACAGGTGTGAGCCACCGCGCCTGACCCTCTCCCAGGAGTCTTTTTTTTTTGAGACAGAGTTTCACTCTTGTTTCCCAGGCTGGAGTGCAACAGCATGATCTCGGCTCACCGCAACCTCTGCCTCCCAGGTTCAAGCGATTCTCCTGCCTCAGCCTTCCTAGTAGCTGGGATTACAGGCATGTGCCACCATGCCCACCTAATTTGTTTTGTATTTTTAGTAAAGATGGAGTTTCTCCATGTTGGTCAGGCTGGTCTCAAACTCCCGACCTCAGGTGATCCACCCGCCTCGGCCTCCCAAAGTGCTGGGATTAGAGGCATGAGCCACCGCGCCTGGCCTCTCCCAGCAGTCTTAACTGCTGGTCTCTTCATCAGGAAGCCAGGGTCCCTTATCCTGCTCTCACATACTAGATGCAGAGTCTTGAGTGTGTTAAGTGAAAGTTAAGTGAACTTTCCCGGGCTTGTTTTTCACATGTTCATCAAAATAAGCTCAAAGGGTCTTGTCACCCATAAATATCCTAAGACTCCAAAGAATAACTTTTCTATTTCCCTTTGTTTCAGAAAAGCACACCTACAGACACCAACAATGGTGGTATAGAGCTCCCACTAATCCCCTCTGCAATTACTCAACGGCGTTTGAGGTAATTTAAGAACACTTTACATACAAAAAAAGATGGTAAGCGTTTCTTTAGTGTGCTTTCAGGTAATTTGGCAGTGTTAATTCCTATCCCACCAAAAAAAAAAAAAAACAAAAACAGGAAAACAAACCTACCAGTGAAGGATTAACATTGTTGCTCTCAATCTCATCAGAATACATTTTATAACACTAAAAACCTGACAAAGTGGCAACTTTTAGTCATTCAAACACTCCCCAAAACAAAAGTTCTGGAGGTACAAAATTTACAGCAACAAGCAAAAAAAAAACAGAACATAAAACCGTGTGCCTCAATAATCCCGAATCTGAAAGTCTCCCCTCCCTTTAATTCCAATGCATAGGGGCTGTTAATAACACTAGGCGCTGCCATGCTTGCTTCAGGAACAATACTCACAATAATGACCAGGCCCTCAGAAGCTCACAACACTCTTTTCACCTTGAGAAAGGGGCTTTCTTTTCCAAAGATTCAGACATTGTAGCCATTCCCTCCAAGAGGGAATTTGGAGAATGGGCCTCTTCTTGAGAAACAAAGAAAGAAGAGTTTTTTAATAAAATCCCAAGACAAACCAAAAGTGAGGCAGGGAAGTTCATACACTAAACAGGGCAAGCGCTTCAACATGGAGCGTGCAGAAAATCTCTAAAGCATCAAGGACTATTTCCCATTTCCTCCCTTTAATAACATCCAGAAAAAGGATCCCTGTCTCCACGTAAGGAGTGAAACTGGAAAATGCTCCTGATTTCTACTGACAGAGGCTTCCTGTATAAAAGATTTTCCTCTGTTTTATAAAGGAAAAGGAGAAAAGAAACAATCTGTGTCATTTTCCATATACAAGAGGGAAGAGATCTCTCCTCAAAGGTATAGAGTCTTCATTTTCTTGGGAGAGCAAAAGACAGGAAGAATATGGAATCGCCCACTTGGGGGGGTGGGAAGGATGTGCAGATGGAAGATTTTTTGTCACTACAGTAAGTCAGGGAAGTGGGAGAGGGCATCTCTAACCAGTCAGGAAGAAGTGATACCTTCTGTGGACAAAGGAAGTGCTGGCGTCTGGCATCAGGTCTCACTTTCTCTTAAGAGCACAGACCTGTTTCCAAAAGCTAAGTCTTTTTTTTACTGATTATTTTCAGTGAGGCCCTCTTTGTTAATTTGGGAAAGTATTGAACAGCAGGATCTAAGGGGACTGGAAGTGTCTCTTTCTCTAACCCCTAAGTGGGAGGGAGTCTTCCACTCCAGTGAGAAAGGATGGTTGAACACTTGTGATGGAGGCTGCGAGGGGCATGCATGGAAAAATATGCTTCTCTGTGCAAGATATTAGTTTTCTTTTTTAACAGATTAAGTAATAGTAATAGCAACAGCTTACCAAAAGCTTACTATATAACTAGTATTTACACAAATGCTCCCTTAGCCCGCATGACAATTCTAAGAAAACAGAACCCAAATTGGAGATGGACTGAGATTCAGACAAGTTAAACAAATAGTCAAGGTCACAAAGACGTTAAGTGAGAGACCCAGGTTTGCAACGATTACACTCCAAAAGCCATGCTCTTAATAATGCAAGGGAAAGGAGCTCACTGCACACCAAGAGGCTTAAAGGGAAGAAGAGAAGCGAGGGTCTCTCTGTGGACATCACGAGGGGAGAGGGAGAAAGGTTGATTTCTGATACCATAAAGTAAAATTTCAAGGTCTTCCTCTCCGTATCTTGGGGTACAGGCGAAAAATAAAGGAGGAAGGTAAGTCTCTTTCTTACTGGGAAGAAAGATCCCCTCTGTCACTTTCAGGCAAGTTGGGTCTCACTCTTCACCTGGGTGACGCTGACCAAAGTTGGGGGAAAGGTCTCATTTAGGGGTTATCTTTTACTCCTCCTCAGGATAAGTTCAGAATCCCCCTCGAACCCTGGGAGTGGGTCTCCCTCTGCTGACCAACGGATGAGCGCTAAGAAAGAGCGTACGCCTCCGATAAGGGGCGTCGTCCTCTCCGAGGAGATAAGTTGGGGGATCCCTGTTGTATCGAGGTTGAAGAGGAGTCTCTCTCCCGCGTCGGAGCCATGACTCGGAGAAGCCGCTTTTCTCTAGCGACGCGGGGCCTGGTCTCCTCCCTCTCCCTGGGTCGTTCCGCCGCCCACAGGGCAGCCTTGGTTCCTTTCCGCGCCCCGAGAGGGCGGGGGGCCTGGACTCCCCTTTAGCAGCACCACCCGGCGGAGGGTCCCTTTAGGGCGGAGTGGGGCGGGGCGGCTACGCCCGAAGCCTTCCAGTCCCGGCCTCTTACCCTGAGACCTCCTCCGCGGCCCGCGCTTGCCCAGCCAGCTCAGCCCCTGCAGCTGCAGCCCCGTCGTCGCCAGGTCTACCTGAGCCTACGGAGCCGACAGAGGCCGGGGGCGCTCCGGCCGCCGCCACCTCTTCGTCTCTATGGTCCCCCTGCACTTCCTCATCCGGGGCCCGAGCCAGCCATGCGGACTCGCCCAAATCCCGCCCCCGCACCGCGCGCGCGCACTCCAAGGGAAGGCTCTTCCTGATTCTGACCTCCCGCCCTCTGCTAGCCCCAGCCTCCCTCAACCCCGCCCCTGCGGCTCAAACTCTTAAAGGGAAACACAACTTTTGGTTCTGCTCCTGCTGAGCCACAGGACCCAGTGCCGGCCTTCGCTGCTGTCACCCTGTTCCAGTCCACCGTTTTTCTAGTCTGGACGGCTACAATTCTAAGGGCCTGCCTGCTTCCACTCTGGCAGCCCGAGAGATCTTATTCTACTGGAAAGAGTGTTTTGGGTCATGACACTCCTCTGCTTCTTCTAATCACACTGACCACTAAATAAATGGCACCTCTGCCTCCAGTTGGTTACAGAACCTTGTTTTATTTTCTTCATAGCTTTAACACTAGCTGAAATTTCTATGTCTCATCTCTTTATTGACTTGTTTATCATTTATCTTCCTCCACCTTGTCTGTTTTGTTCATCACTTAATGCTCAGCACCAAGAGCAGTGTCCGGCACAAAACTAGACGCTCAATGGACATTTGAAGGAAGGAAGAAATGTTTATCCAGTGGAAGAATTGAGGTCCAGATAATGAAATCGACTTGCCCCAAATAATACGGCTTTGTGTTAAAAAATAGAAATCGACCAGGCGCGGTGTCTCACGCCTGTAATCCAGCACTTTGGGAGGCGAAAGCGGGAGAAGCACTTCAGCCCAGAAGTTTGAGACCAGCCTGGGCAACATAGTGAGACATCGTTTCTGCCAAAAAACAAACAGCTGGGTCTGGTGATGTGTGCCTGTAATCCCAGCTACTCTGGAGGCTGAGGCAGGAAGATCACTTGAGGCTGGAAGGTTGAGGCTGCAGTGAGCAGTGATAGTGCCACTGCACTCCAGCCTGGATGACACAGCAAGACTCTTTCTCAAAACAAAACAAAAATTGCTCAGGTGTTGATGCACCTGTGCTCCTAGCTACTGGGGAGCCTGAAGCAGGAGGATCGTTTGAGCCCAGGAGTTTGAAGCTGCATTGAGCTATGATGGTGCCCCCACTGCACTCCAGCCTGGGCAACAAAACAAGACACTGTCTCAAAAAAAAAAAAAAAAAAAAAAATTGAATGCTTCAAAGTTTCGTTTCTTTCTTTCTTTTTTTTTTTTTTGAGACGGGGCCACGTTCTGACACCAGGCTGGAGTGCAGTGGTAGGATCTCGGCTCACTGCAACCTCTGCCTCCCAGGTTCAAGAGATTCTCCAGCCTCAGCCTCCTGAGTAGCTGGGATTACAGGCGCATGCTACCATGCCCAGCTAATTTTTGTATTTTTAGTAGAGACAGGGTTTCACCATGTTGGCCAGGCTGGTCTTGAACTCCTGACCTCGAGTGATCCGCCTGCCTCGGCCTCCCAAAGTGCTGGGATTACAGGCGTGAGCCACCACTCCTGGCCTTCAGAGTTTCTTTATGAGAGTTGCCAAATTAAAAAGTTAAAATATTTGCCTTTTGGCCGGGCGTGGTGGCTGAAGCCTATAATCCCAGCACTTTGGGAGGCCAAGGCGGGCGGATCACGAGGTCAGGAGATCAAGACCATCCTGGCTAATACGGTGAAACCCCCTCTCTACTAAAAATTATAAACAATTAGCCAGGCGTGGTGGCGGGCACCTGTAGTCCCAGCTACTCGGGAGGCTGAGGCGGGAGAATGGCATGAACCCGGGAGGCAGAGGTTGCAGTGAGCCGAGATCGGGCCACTGCACTCCAGCCTGGGCGACAGAGGGAGACTCCGTCTCAAAAAAAAAAAAAAATTTGCCTTTTTAAGATGTCCCATTATGGACATCTCTCAGGAGAAGGAATCAAATTCCCTTGAGGGCTAAGAAGAGAGAATCCTATTAGCTTCCCCAGGGATGGAAGAATGTCCCATCAACCACCATTGCTAAAGACAAAAACTATCTTGGGGGATCTAGGTGTATCTCCTGAAGTGGCAACATAGAAACATTTTTTAACATAACATTGTTATTCTTAAAAAATTTTGTAACTGTTGCAATCCACTGTATCACATATGTTTTATTACAAGATAAACAATTTCAGCCAGGAGTGGTGGCTTGGCCTGTAGTCCCAGTCCCTTGGGAGGCTGAGGCAGAAGAATCACTTGAGCCCAGAAAATTGAGGTTGCAGTGAGCTATGATAGAACCACTGCACTGCAGCCTTGGCAACAGAGCTAGACCTGGTCTTGGGGGAAAAAAAAGGCCCGGCTACAGTGATTGGTGCCTGTAATCCCAGAACTTTGGGAGGCCAAGGCGGACGGATTACTTGAGCTCTGGAGTTTGAGACCAGCCTGGGCCACATGGCAAAACCCCGTCTCTACAAAAAATACAAAAATTAGCTGAGCATGCACCTGTAATCCCAGCTACTAGGAGGCTGAGGTGGGAGGATCGCATGAGCCAGGCAGGCAGAGATGGCAGTGAGACGGGATCATGCCACTGCACTCCAGCCTGGGTGAGGGTGACCTCATCTCAAAACAAAAACAAAAAAACAAACAAACAAAAAAATTGCAATTACTTAACACTTGCATTATTTACCTAACTT
Source organism: Homo sapiens (assembly GCF_000001405.40). Lineage (NCBI taxonomy): Eukaryota > Metazoa > Chordata > Mammalia > Primates > Hominidae > Homo > Homo sapiens. The sequence goes on from NC_000022.11 coordinate 31,752,758, forward strand.
CTCCTGAGTCCCAACATAAAGGCATCCATGCTTAAGAACGTTGCTTGTCCTGTCCCAGGGTCCCCTTGGTCCACTGCAGAATCTTTCACTACAGTGTAACATGTTTTTTCTTTCAACATTTTTAAGTTTTCCAAATCCGTAAGAAATGGGCACTGTTAGTATTAAAGATATAAAGAAATTTAAGACAAGTGCTGTGTCGTTTAGATTTAGCAGTCAGTGTGATTAGAAGCAGCAGAGGAGAGGCGTGACCCAAGACACCGATTCTAGTTATAAGGTCTCTCTGGCTTCAAGAGGGGAAGCAGGGAGTCCCTATCGAGTTGCTGCCGCTCAGGTCAGAAACGGTGGACTGGACTAGGGGGCGGGGGTATCAGTGGCAGCAGGCGGAGCTGGCAATTGTCAGGAGTCCTTGGCCAGAGCCTGACCCAGCCCACCCAGCTCTCTGGTTTTCTGCTTGGAGAGAAAGATATCCTGACAGACGCGAGTTTAGGCAGTGCCCTGGGTATGACCAAAGGATGTTGGTTAAAGGCCCCGTTCTGGGAACGGGTCAGGATTCGTCCTTGCTTCCTTCTGAAGGGTTTTGTGTCCTCAGGCTGTTTCCTGGTTTGTGAAATAGGATAGTATCTGCCTCCTGCATCCATCAGGTAATAGGGATGCAATGATTACATAAGGACTATGAAGCCACGGCAGCCATTCTTATTAATAACCTGAGGGGCGCAGAACGTCGTTTAGAGTTTGCAAGGGTTTGAAAAGCCCCCCGTAAGTGGACACTTCCCAGCAGAGGCCATCACCCTAACTCTCGCGTGCTCAGCCCCTTGCATTTTACAGAAGTCCTCCCAGAAACTCTCGTTGGCGCCTCTTAGCTGCCCAATGAGGCCACATGAGTCATTAACCTCGTTCATATAACAGAAAACGGAGCTCTGACGGATCTCGTTTCCCCTGTGGGGAGATCACTGAGTCGGAAACGAAGCTCTGTGGCCATGGATCTACTTCGGATAGACTAGGAGGAAATGGATTTCCTCCGTGGGGCGGGAGGCTCTAGTGCTCGAGGGCAGGAAACGCCAGGAGGTGGCCCAAGGAAGAGGCCGCACACGACGCCCCGCCCCCGGCTCGAGCCCCGGATGAGGAAGTGGTGCGGCCACCGAGACGAGACGGAGGCCCGGCGAGAGCGGCGCGGGGGCGCGAGGGCGGGAAGGAGGCGGGGCCCCGGGGCGGAGCCACCGGAGCGGCGCGGGTTCTCAGGTGAGCGCTACACGGTCGGGGCGGGCCTAGTAGGCGCTTCAGGCTTAGGGGCGGAACAGCGCGGGCCGCGCGGGCGTAGGCGGGGTATCTGGAGGAGGCGCAGGGAACCTGGAGAGGGTCCAGCCCTCAGTGCCCCGGCCAGAGGCGGGAAGGGGCTCTAGAGCTTCGGTGAGTGGAGCTGCCCGCCCCGGACTGGGGATTGGGGGGGCTTGAGATAGGGGACCTTGGCCCAGGTTCGAGTTCCAGGCTCCATCCCCATTCCGCTGTGTGACCTTGGACAAGTCTCTCTCCCTCTCTGAGCCTCAACGGCCTCAGCTGTGAAACGGAGTCAGGGAAGGTCTGCTGAGAGTTCGCACAGACCGAGGTTTGGGGAAGGAACTTCTGCCTTCCTCCTCTTTGTGGTTGCCTTGCTCAGGACATTGGCAGCAAAACGAGAATGGTGGGAGTGTCTCTTAAGTCTCGAGTGACCTTGAGCAAGTCCCTTGCCCGGAGTCACACTTTCATCATCTACAAAATGAGTGGGCTAACCTCTTTTAAGATCTCTTTACTATTTGGGTGTTATTGGTGTAGATGGAGACAAGGTGATGAGCACCCATTCAGCGCAATGCTTCCCCTATGGGGGTGTGATAGAATATCTTCTCCTAGGTTTGACTAGCCCCTGGCCCGAATTCCCCTTAGTTCCTGGATTCTGTGGTTCTATTTGTTCTCCATCGCTCCTTGTAACTGGAGGAGTGACTTCTTCCGAGAGTCACTTGGCACCACTTCACAGCAGAGGAACACCAGTATCTTCACTGGCCTAAAATCAAAGAGTGGTTGCAAGGAAAAATCTGACATTCCAACCTTTTCGTTTGTATTTCTGTGGCAGGGAGGCAAGATGACTTCTCTGCCCCAAGCTTGGAACAGCTAAAGGGAAAAACAGTGCAAGATGAGAACAACAAAGGTCTACAAACTCGTCATCCACAAGAAGGGCTTTGGGGGCAGTGGTCAGTATCGATTGGTCTTTAGAGGTTTTGTAAGTTGGCTGAGGTTCTGGTGTGTGCAATACCTAGAAATTACACACTGACTCGTGTGACAATTGAGGCTAAACAGGCGACTAAACAGACTAAAGCAGCAACTGTCATACAGTAACAATAGGAGGATGGCAGGACCCTTCTAATGCATTTGCATTCAGACTTTTAAGGAACATTGTGAATGCTGCCGGTTTACTACCCTTCATTTGTTGAATTGCATTATTAATTACAAATCTTCCGTGTATGTTCCATAAAATTCCAGCCTGCACTGGTTTGGCAGATAAGAGAAACTAAAATCGTTTATCAGTTTTTACATTGAGTGAGAGAGAAGTGGCATAGATGTGCATAGAGCAGGTATGATCAAAGCATGAACCTTTGCCTGGCTTGTAGGCATGGGAAGAAGGAGCAGGATACAGCATGTTATTCTGCACTGAGCTATAGTCTGAGTATCTACTCTGCTTCTAATTTTCCTGGTGACCTTGGGCAAGCTCCTAGTGTACCTTATCTGAAAGTTGAAGGGCTTTAGAATAGTTTCTCTTAACATCTATTTTTTTTCCTTTCTTTTCTTTTCTTTTTTTTTTTGGGACACGGTCCCCCATGTTGCCCAGGCTAGTCTGGAACTCTAGAGCTCAAAAGATCCTTCCACCTCAACCTCAACCTCCCTAATAGTTGGGATTACAGGCGTGAGCCACTGTACCCAGCTCTCCTTAGTGCCTTGAATCCATAAATCTGAAGAATAAAAGGGCACTTAGTATAATTTTTTTTTCTTTTGTAAGGGAATAATTTTCCATTCTGTCTTAACAGCATTATTTACTTCAGAAATTGGAGTTAACAATATAATGAATCTTTTTATTTTATTTTATTATTTATTGGCATTTTTTTTTTGAGACAGAGTCTCGCTCTGTCACCAGGCTGGAGTGCAGTGGCGTGATCTCAGCTCACTGCAACCTCCACCTCCCAGGTTCAAGCAATTCTTCTGCCTCAGCCTCCCGAGTAGCTGGGACTACAGGTGCATGCCGCCACACCTGGCTATTTTTTTTTTTTTTTTTTTGTATTTTAGTAGAGAGGGTTTCACCATGTTTCCCAGGCTGGTCTCGAACTCCTGAGCTCAGGCAATCCGCCCACCTTAGCCTCCCAAAGTGCTAGGATTACAGGCAAGAGCCACCGCGCTGGCATGAGTCTTTTTAACATTGTATTTTAGGGTGTATTTACTTCTACATTATGTAGGTATAAGCCTCCAGAGGGGAAGGACTGCCAAAAAGGGAAAACAATAGTTTCTCTATCATAGAGCATTGTGAGGCTTAAGTAAAGTGATACATGTAATGCATTTAGCAGAGTGTTAGACTCTGTGCTCAATAAATGTAGCCATTGTAATTACCAGGCTACAGGCATTGCTATATTTAAACTACAATTTCTGCTAAAATGCACAGTCTATTGTTATTACTTTGATGCTGTTGATGTTGCCTAAATATTTGTGGAGTGGAATAAAGCAAATAACTTTTGGCAGAGAAAAGAATACAAGGATACAGTATATACAACGTATACAAATACATGTTTTTATGTATAAAATACAAAGGTAGTTAGATGCTGTATCCAGTCTTCTGCAAGACTATAGGTCAAAATACAACTAACAGCTGGACATGGTAGCTCATGACTGTAATCCTGGCATTTTGGAAGGTCAAGGTGGGCAGATCACATGAGGTCAGGAGTTCAGGACCAGCCTGGCCAACATAGTGAAACCCCATCTCTACTAAAAATACAAAAATTAGCCAGGTGTGGTGGTGCGTGCCTGTAATCTCAGCTACTAGGGAGGCTGAGGCACGAGAATTGCTTGAACCCAGGAGGCAGAGGTTGCAGTGAGCCGAGATCATGCCACTACACTCCAGCCTGGGCAATAGAGCAAGACCCTGTCTTTAAAAAAATAAAAAATAATAAAAAAAAAAGAAACAACCAACAGATATTTATTAGGTGTATACCTGTGCCAGACGTAATGATTATGAATGCCACAAGGTTCTTTGTCCCTAAAGAGTTTTCAGTTTGGTAAGATAGACATGCAAAAAGGAAATGATAAAACCAAGCAGAAGGGGATATGTTCTCAGGGACCTTAATTCAGACTATGTAAATTAGGGAGGAAGCTCCAAAGAGCATTTGTCGTGAAACTGTCAGTGGAAACATAGCAAATAAAATTAGGGATTGCTGGGTGCAGTGGTGTATGCCTGTAGTCACAGCTACTCAAGAGGCTGGGACAGGAGGATCACTTGGGCCCAGGAGTTCCAGACTATAGTACATTATGCTGATTGGGTGTCTGCACTAAGTTCTGCATCAATATAGTGACCTCCCAGGAGTGGGGGACCACCAGCTTGCCTTAGGAAGTGTGAACCACCTCAGGTTGGGAACAGAGCAGGTCAAAACTCCTGTGCTGATCAGCAGTGGGATTGTCCCTGTAAATAGCCACTGTACGCCAGCCTAGGCAACAGCAAGACCTTATCTCTAAAAGAAAACAAAAAAATTTGGGAGTAAGCCAATGTTTCATTTTACTAGGCTAAATTTTTGTTGGGTCTGATTATATTTGAAATCTAGATAAACTTAATTGTCATGATATTAGCATAATTAAAGGTGATGTCTTTCCTTGCAAATTAAAACAGCAAAACAGTCATTCTGTCTTTATGCTTCTGAGTTTGCAATATTTGATAGAGTTCTCCCCATCCCTAGTAGAGGGGCAGGGGTAGATAAACATGAAACCACATCCCTCTTATTTTATTTATTTATTTTTTTGAGATGCAGTCTCTTTCTGTCACTCAGGCTGGAGTGCAGTGGTGTGATTTCGGCTCACTGTAACCTCTGCCTCCCGGGTTCAAGTGATTCTCCTGCCTCAGGCTCCCAAGTAGCTGGGATTACAGGCTCCCACCACCACACCTGGCTAATTTTTGTATTTTTAGTAGAGACGGGGTTTCGCCATGTTCGCCAGGCTGGTCTTGAACTCCTGACCTCAGGTGATCTGTCCATCTCGGCCTCTCAAAGTATTGGGATTACAGGCATGAGCCACTGCTCCTGGACTCTCTGAGGTTATTTTCTTACTCCTGTTAGATCTAAAGATTTATTGTGACGGTCACATTAAGACACTGTTTGGGAAATTCTTTGAACATTGAATAACTGTAACGAATTGTGCTGTATCTGTGGGAACCAGCCTGTTTTGTTCCTGTTATATGCCAGATACACAATATTTGAGGGGGTAAAAGGCTGTCCAGAAGCCTAATTCCCAGATACTAAGGGCTGCTCTGCCCCTGGAAGCAGTGCGGTAGTAGAAAGGGCACAGGGTATGGAGACAAAGGTACCTGAGCGCCATCCCACTCTGCTGCTGTGTAGCTTGGTGTTCCTGTGTGAATCCATTAGTCATTGTAAGCCTCGTTTCAAAATAGAACCTCATCTGTCAATGGGGTGGCAATACCATCCTGATGGGGTTGTGAGGAACCAGTATGAGAACATACAGTGTACCTAATGAGTGTTTTTCTACTTGAAGTGGCTGAATTGTCTTTCAGATGATGAGCTAGTTGTGAACCCCAAAGTGTTCCCTCACATCAAGCTTGGAGACATTGTAGAGATTGCACACCCCAACGATGAATACAGGTGAGTGTCTCATAGGATCCATGGAACTGGGCAATTCACTGTTTCCAAATGATGTCCAAGGCAGATAGCTCTCTTTGCCTTTCAAAATGCTCATGCTGTGATGGCTCAATCCTGTAATTCCAGCACTTTGGGAGGCTGAGGTGGGTAGGTCATTTGAGCCCGGGAGTTCGAGACCAGCCTGGGCAACATAGAGGGACCCTGTCTTAAAAAAAAATGATCATGCCTTCTAGGATTTGATCAACAAATAATTTTTCAAAAGTGGTCCATTCCTTCGTTTTTTTTTTTTTGAGATGGAGTCTAGCTCTGTCACCCAGGCTAGAGTGCAGTTGTGTAATCTCAGCTCACTGCAACCTCTGCCTCCCAGCCCCAAGTGATTGTCCTGCCTCAGCCTCCTGAGTAGCTGAGATTACAGGCTCAGCCTCCCGAGTAGCTGAGATTACAGGCATGCGCCATCACGCCCAGCTAATTTTGCATTTTTGGTAGAGACAGGGTTTCACCATGTTGCCCAGGCTGGTCTTGAACTCCTGACCTCAGGTAATCCACTGGCCTTGGCCTCCCAATGTGCTGGGATTACAGGTATGAGGCACCGCACCTGGCCTAATTTTTGTGTTTTTTAGTAGAGATGGGGTTTCACCATATTGTCCAGGCTTGTCTCAAGTCATCCATCCTGCTAGGCCTCCCAAAGTGCTGAGATTACAGGCATGAGCCACCATACCGAGCCGTTTTTTTTGTTTTTTTTGTTTTTTTTTGTTTTTTTTGAGATGAAATCTCACTCTGTCACCCAGGCTGAAGTGCAGTGGTGGGATCTTGGCTCACTGCAATCTCTGTCTTCCGGGTTCAAGCCATTCTCCTGCCTCAGCCTCCTGAGTAGCTGGGATTACAGGCGCGTGCCACCATGCTTGGCTAATTTTTGTATTTTTAGTAGAGACGGGGTTTCACCATGTTGGTCAGGCTGGTTTCGAACTCCTGACCTCGTGATCCGCCTGCCTTGGCCTCTTAAAGTGCTAGGATTACAGGCATGAGCTACCTTGCCGCGCCCAGCCTTTTTTTTTTTTTTTTTTTTTTAAGAGACAGAGTCTCGCTCTGTCACCCAGGCTGGAGTGCAGTGGTGCCACCTCGGCTCACTGCAACCTCTGCCTCCTGGGTTCAAGTGACTCTTCTGCCTCAGCCTGTCGAGTAGCTGGAACTACAGGTGTGGGCCACCACACCTGGCTAATTTTTGTATTTTTAATAGAGACAGGGTTTCGTCATGTTGGCCAGGCTGGTCTCGAACTCCTGACCTCAGGTGATCCACCTGCCTTGGCCTCCCAAAGTGTTGGGATTATAGGCATGAGCCACCGAGCCCAGCCTCTTTCTGGTTTTAAAGCTGAGATGACAACTGAAAGGTTCTGTAGCATTTGTCCATTTCCTTTAGTGCGTATGGAGTTTCTTTGTTTCTTTTTTTTTTTTTGTGAGACGGAGTCTTGCTCTGTCGCCCAGGCTGGAGTGCAGTGGCACAATCTTGGCTCACTGCAAGCTCCACCTCCCGGGTTCACGCCATTCTCCTGCCTCAGCCTCCCAAGTAGCTGGGACTACAGGCGCCCACCACTATGCCCGGCTAATTTTTTTGTATTTTTAGGAGAGACGGGGTTTCACTGTGTTAGCCAGGATGGTCTCGATCTCCTGACCTCATGATCCGCCCGTCTCGGCCTCCCAAAGTGCTGGGATTACAGGCATGAGCCACCACACCCGGCCTAATTTTTTCTATTTTTTAGTAGAGAAGGGGTTTCACCGTGTTAGCCAGGATGGTCTCGATCTCCTGACCTCGTGGTCCACCTGCCTCGGCCTCCCAAAGTGCTGGGATTACAGGCGTGAGCCACCGCACCTGGCCGAGTTTCTTTGTTTCTGAGGGAGCTTTCTCCCGTTGTTGTGCTGTAAGTCACAGAATGGCCAGAGTGACCTATTTGCCTTTTGTCGGGGATGAAGGTTGCTAGGGAGTTACTGTTCACGGTATCCCAACTCTCTTGTTGCTTTCTTTTTCAGCCCTCTGCTTTTGCAGGTCAAGTCTCTTAAGGAAGATTTACAGAAGGGTAAGAATTATATCACTCTTCTTAGAATTTTTTATTTACTGCCTCAGAAACTGTAAGAAATCTCTCTTCATAATTTCAAGGGATGAGGGCAAGTAATTCTCTTCTTTTTTAAACAAATTTTAATTTAACTTTCAATTCAGGCAGTACATGGGAATGTTTGTTACATGGGTATATTGTGTACTGGTGGGGATTGGGCTTCTATTGTATCCATTACACAGTGAACCTTGTATCTGACAGAACAGATACAGATAAAGAATGTTGTATCTGTGTCTTAACATTGTTTTTTTTTTTTTTTCTGAGACAGTGTCTTGTTCTGTCACCCAGGTTGGAGTGCAGTGGCGCGATCTCGGCTCACTGCAAGCTCCGCCTCCTGGGTTCACACCATTCTCCTCCCTCAGCCTCCCAAGTAGCTGGGACTACAGGCACCTGCCACCACGCCTGGCTAATTTTTTGTATTTTTAGTAGACACGAGGTTTCACCGTGTTAGCCAGGATGGTCTCAATCTCCTGACTTCATGATCCTCCTGCCTTGGCCCCCCAAAGTGCTGGGATTACAGGCGTGAGCCACCACACCCAGCCTGAACATTGTATTTTTCAACCTTCATTCTCTTCCCTGTCCTTGTTTTTGGAGTCCCAAGTGTCTATTATTTCCATCCCACTTATAGGTAAGAACATGCAGTATTTGGTTTTCTGTTTGTGAGTTAGTTCACTTAGGATAATGGTGGCCTCCAACTCCATCCATGTTGCTGCAGTGGACATGATTCCATTTTTTTATGACTGTAGTTCTCTTCTTATCAAACTATGTTGCCACTAAAAAAAAAATTGTAAAGTGACGCTTATAGTCCTAGCTACTCTGGAGGCTGAGGTGGAAGGATCATTGGGTCCCAAGAGTTTGAGGTTTCAATGAGCTATAACGGTGCCACCGCAGTCTAGCCTGGTCAACAGAGCAAGACCCTATCTCAAAAAAAAAAAAAAAAAAAAATAGGCCAGGCACGGTGGCTTATGCCTGTAATCCTGGGAGTTTGGGCGGCTGAGGCAGGCGGATTGCCTGAGCTCAGGAGTTTGCGACCAGCCTGGGCAAAACGGTGAAACCCTGTCTCTACTAAAATACAAAATATTAGCCGGGTGTGGTGGCATGCACCTATAATCCTAGCTACCCTGGAGGCCGAGGTAGGAGAATTACTTGAACCCGGGAGGCGGAGGTTGCAGTGAGCCGAGGTCACGCCACTGCACTCCAGCCTGGGCGACAGAGCGAGACTCCGGCTCAAAAAAAAAAAAAAAAAAAAAATACACAACCTGCCTGTTGCCCAGGTTGGTCTTGAACTCCTGGCCTCAAGTGGAGTTCCTGACACCTTGACCTCCCAAAGTGCTAAGATTGCAGGTGTGATCCACCACATCTGTCCCATTTTTTCACAAACTATTTGTTAAATGCCTACTCTGGGTGAGTAGGGATTGGGGAGGAAGAAATATATATTGATGATCGCCCACCACATTGTGCAAGGTACTATCCTGGGAGCTTTGTGTAATCTAGCATTATCTTCCCAACAACTCTTGAGTGAGTGAGGAAGTTTATTATCTGCCGGACTATACAGTCTAGGCGTAGCCAGAAGCAGTGATTCCTGCTTACTTATTCTGGATTCAAATCCTTTCTTTTTCCCTCTAATGGCTATGCCATGCTGTTCAAGGAACCAAAATGTTAATTGAAAGTAAATAAGATACTCTTTTAAATAGTTCTTAAGAGAAAAAAACAAAATTCTGGGTTGCTCTAAAGGGCTTTGATGGCTGGGTGCAGTGGCTGACGCCTGTAATCCCAACACTTTGGGAGGCTGAAGTAGGTGGATCACCTGAGGTCAGGAGTTTGAGACCAGCCTGACCAACATGGTAAAACCCCGTCTCTACTAAAAATATAAAATTAGCCAGGCATTGTGGCGCATGCCTGTAATCTCAGCTACTCGGGAAGCTGAGGCAGGAGAATTGCTTGAATCTGGGAGGCAGAAGTTGTGGTGAGCTGAGATCACGCCATTGCACTCCAGCCTGGGCAACAAGAACAAAACTCTGTCTCTAAATAAATAAATAAATAAAATAAAGGGCTTTGATGTCACCCACTCTTTCTTTTTTTTTAAAGAGATGGCGTCTCACTCTGTTGCCCAGGCTGGAGTCTGGAGTGCAGTCTCACAATCTTGGCTGACTGCAACCTGCGCCTCCTGGGTTCAAGTGATTCTCCTGCCTCAGCCTCCCAGGTAGTTAGGACTACAGGCGTGCACCACCATGCCTGGCTAATTTTTATATTTATATTTTTATTTTTTTGAGATGGAGTCTCACTCTGTCACCCAGGCTGGAACGCAATGACATGGTCTCAGCTCACTGCAACCTCCGCCTCCTGGATTCAAGGGATTCTCCTGCCTCAGCCTCCTCAGTAGCTGGGATTACAGGTGCACGCCACCACACCTGGCTAATTTTTGTATTTTTAGTGGAGACAGGGTTTCACTATGTTGTCCAGGCTAGTCTCGAACTGCTGACCTCGTGATCCGCCCTCCTCGGCCTCCCAAAGTGCTGGGATTACAGACATGAGCCACCATGCCCGGCCTAATTTTTATATATTTAGTAGAGATGGGGTTTCACCATGTTGGCCAGGCTGGTCTCAAATTCCTCACCCCAGGTGATCTGCCTGCCTCAACCTCCCAAAGTCCTGGGATTACAGGCGTGAGCCACTGCACCATTGCCCCTGCCTTTTTTTTTTTTCTTTTTCCCTTTCAGACAGGGCCTCTCTCTGTTGTCCAGACTGGAGTGCAGTGGTGCAGTCACGGCTCACTGCAGCCTCAACCTCCCTGGGTGCAAATGATTCTCCATCTCCCACCTCCGCCTCCCGAGTAGCTAAGACCCCAGACGCCCAGCCCACAGGATCATGCCTGGCTAATTTTTTTTTTTTTAATTTTTGCTCAGGCTGGTCTTGAACTCCTGGGCCCAAGCAGTCCTCATGCCTTGGCCTCCTAAAGTGCTAGGATTACAGGCATGAGTCACCATGCCTGGCTATCCACTCATATTTAACAATTCAATATTTCAATTTGAGGAGAAAACATTCTATAAAACCTGGCTACTCTGGTTACGCTGCCTATGGGTTATCCCTGCTCTGCAAGGAGCAGTAAAAAAAAAATTTAAAGTTTTCATTTTTATTGTTATGTTGTGTGGTGTTATGTTTTTTATGTTATGTTATGTTATGTTTGTTATGTTATGTTATGTTATTTTGAGATGGAGTATCCCTCTGTCGCCCAGGCTGGAGTGCAGTGGTGTGATTTTGGCTCACTGCAACTTCCACCTCCTAGGTTCAAGCAATTCTCCTGCCTCTGCCTCCTGAGTAGCTGGGACTACAGGTGCGCACCACGACACCTGGCTAAATTTTTTTTGTATTTTTAGTAGAGGCGGGGTTTCACCATGTTGGTCAGGCTGGTCTTGAACTCCTGACCTCATGATCTGCTGAGCCACCACATGCAGCCAATTTAAAGATTTTAAAAGAATTCTATAAAACCTTAATCCTAAGAATGGCCTTCATACCTTCCCCTTATCTCCTGCCCCATGTTACGTTTCTTACCAGACTTAAGGGCTCATTGAAAAATTTGTTTCTTCTTTACCACTGATAACTTCATTCCAAAGAGAAGATCTCCTTTCTCTTCTGGAGTTTTACAGGTCTTTGAACTTTCTTATCTTCCTTCTTATTTAATTTATTTATTTATTGAGACAGAGTCTCATTCTGTCACCCAGGTTGGAGTGCAGTGGTACGATCTCAGCTCGCTACAACCTCTGTCTCTGGGGTTCAAGCGATTTGTATGCCTCAGCCTCCCAAGTAGCTTGGATTACAGGCGCCCACCATCATGCCTGGCTAATTTTTGTGTTTTTAGTAGAGACAGGGTTTCACCATGTTGGCCAGGCTGGTCTCGAACTGCTGACCTCAGGTGATCTTCCTGCCTAGACCTCCCAAAGTGCTGAGATTACAGGTGTTAGCCACCATACCCAGCCTCTTCCTTCTTAAATTCTTTATTTTCCCTCCCTTCTCCCTTTTTCTCTCCATTTTTGTTGATTGCTTAGGCTCTGGTCTTATTTCACCTAAAAAGCAGAGAATTGTTTAAATTCTAAGCTCCTGAAAGGAAGAGACTGTGTGTTGCCCGTGTCAGATGATCAATTGTGTTGCTTACTGAGTTGAGTGTTTATAGATTAGAATATATGGATCTGCTTTTTCAAAATATGTTATCTGAGCCAGATATTGTTTCTGTTTTAGAAACTATCAGTGTGGACCAGACTGTGACTCAAGTGTTCCGGCTGAGACCTTATCAGGATGTCTATGTTAATGTCGTAGACCCTAAGGTATGTCTTTGTTTTGTACTTGAATATCTTTTTGGAATAAGCACCCTTCCTCAAGGTTAGATTACTAAGGAAACAATGGGTTACTTAAGTGTAGTGTTAGCCTATTAAATGTGTGGCCTGCTAGGTGTGGTAATTTCAGTACATCAGGAGGCTGAGACAGGAGGATCACTTGAGGCCAGGAGTTCAAGACCAGCCTGAGCAGCATAGTTAGACCTTGTCTTTATTAAAACTTTCCTTTTTCTTTTTTTTGAAATGGAGTATCACTGTTGCCCAGGCTGGAGTGCAGTGGCGTGATCTCGGCTCACTGCAACTGGTGCCTCCCAGGTTCAAGCCATTCTCCTGCCTCAGCCTCCTGAGTAGCTAGGATTACAGGCCTGCACCACCGCACCCAGCTAATTTTTGTATTTTTGTAGAGACAGGGTTTCACCATATTGGCCAGGCTGTTCTTGAACTCCTGACCTCAGGTGATCCACCTGCCTTGGCCTCCCAGAGTGCTGGGATTCCAGGTAGGAGCTACCGCGTCCTGCCTACTAAAACTTTTCTAAAAGATTAGCTGGGTGTGTTGTATATGCCTGTAGTTCCAACTACGTGAAAGGCTGCAACAGGAGGATTGCTTGTGCGCTATTGCACTTCAGCCTGGGCAACAGAACAAGACCTTGTCTTGTAAAACTAAACATGTAGACCATGGGTGGTGGCCCATGCCTGTAATCCCAGCACTTTGGGAGGCCAAGGCAGGCGGATGACTTGAGGTCAGGAGTTTGAGACCAGCCTGGGAAACATGGTGAAACCCTGTCTCTACTAAAAATACAGAACTTAGCTGGGTGTGGTGGCGCACCCCTGAAGTCCCATCTACTCGGGAGGCTGAGGCATGAGAGTCACTTGAGCCCAGGAGGCGGAGGCTGCAGTGAGTGAGCTGAGATCGTGCCACTGCACTCCAACCTGGGCAACAGCAATATCCTGTCTCAAAAAATAATAATAACTAAATAAATATGTAGCCTACATGTCATTTAGAATGTAGGCAGTATGTAGGTTGCATTTAAAACCCACCACCACTTTTCTTGAAGCTTGTCCTAACCATTTTCTGTATGTGAAACTATATGTAAAACTTTCTATTAAAATACTAACATTTTAAAATGTATTCTCATTTTTCTTCAAGAAGTGATGTTATAATAGATAAAAATTATTGTCCAGAAAGTACTATTGACATTAATAGGGAAATAAAGTACATAGGTAAGTGTCATGTTTGTGTGCCAGAATCCAGACTAAAATACAGAATGAGTCCCCCACTACCCATCACACTCAATGTGCTACAGCAGCTATAGGATCAGTTGTAGATTTACCAACTATACTGAAAAGTGTGCTTTTGCAGGATATAATTCTGTTCATCAGAGTTCTGCTACTGAATGGTCTTCCAGTAGTTTTCTTTTTTGCAATAAGTTTTTTTCCATGGTAAGTGGGCATTACCTTCTGACTATAAAGTGTGGCAAAGTAATGTCAGAGATATCATTTGATTATTCCTTTTAGGATGTGACCCTTGACCTAGTGGAATTAACTTTTAAGGATCAGTATATTGGCCGTGGGGATATGTGGCGACTAAAGAAAAGTTTGGTAAGATGTGATTTTTTTTGAAAGTCTGTTACTTTTTCCATTATGTGAATAATCCCTGTTTATTATGGGAGAAGAATATAAAATCGTTTCTGATTTTATATCAGCATCTACAGACAATTATTGTCAACGTCTTCTGTGTTCTTCCATTCTCTTTTCACTGTTCTTTTGATCTTTTGTTTACTGTTACAGATTTTTACTCAGCATTTTTGGTTTAGATAGGAAGTTATACTGTATTTTACATTGGAATAGAACCGTACTTTTCAGGTTTTCACTTTATCCCATTTGCTCCTCACATCTCCTCATGGACAGGTATTTATTATCCCTAATTTATAGAGGTAGAAACTGAGATTGAGAAGTTAGGTAATTGCCCAAGGCTAGATAGTAAGTTGACTCTTGGCCAAAACCCAGATCCTGTGGCTTCCAGATCACACTGCTTTTTGCTATACCCTCTTCCCGTTTTCCACATGTATTCATTGTTTTTTTTTTTTTCTGAGATGGAGTTTCGCTCTTTCCCCAAGCTGGAGTGAAATGGTGGGATCTTGGCTTACTGTAACCTCTGTCGTCTGGGTTCAAGCGATTCTCCTGCCTCAGCCTCCCAAGTAGCTGGAATTACAGGCACCCACCACCATGCCCGGCTAATTTTTTTTTGAGACGGAGTTTCTTGTTGCCCAGGCTGGAGTGCAATGGCGTGATCTCGGCTCACCACAACCTCGGCCTTCCTGGTTCAAGCGATTCTCCTGCCTCAGCCTCCGCAGTAGCTGGGATTACGGGCATGCACCACCGCACCTGGCTAATTTTGTGTTTTTAGTAGAGATGGGGTTTCTCCATGTTGGTCAGGTTGGTCTCGAACTCCAGACCTCAGGCAATCTGCCCGCCTCGGCCTCCCAAAGTGCTGGGATTACAGGCGTGAGCCACCGCTCCCAGCTTTTTTTTTGTATTTTTAGTAGAGGTGGGGGTTTCACCATGTTGGCCAGGCTGGTCTTGAACTCCTGACCTCAGGTGATCTGCCCACCTTGGCCTCCCAAAGTGCTAGGATTATAGGTGTGAGGCATCGTGCCCGGCCCATTTTTTAATTATTCATTTGTTTATTTTTTTTGAGACAGAGTCTCGCTCTGTCACCCAGGCTGGAGTGCAGTGGTGCGATTTCTGCTCACTGCAAGCTCTGCCTCCCGGGTTCACCCATTCTTCTGCCTCAGCCTCCCGAGTAGCTGGGATTACAGGCGCCCGCCACCACACCCGGCTAATTTTTTGTATTTTTAGTAGAGACAGGGTTTCACCACGTTAGCCAGGATGGTCTCGATCTCCTGACCTCGTGATCGTCCCATCTCGGCCTCCCAAAGTGCTGGGATTACAGGTGTGAGCCAGTGCACCCGGCCCCATTTTTTAAAAAAAAATATTTTTATTATATTTTAATTGTTTTTTTTTTTAATTTTTTTTTATTTCCGTGTTACTGGGGAACAGGTGGTGTTTGGTTATATGAGTAAGTTCTTTAATGGTGATTCGTGAGATTTTGATGCACCCATTACCCAAACAGTACACCACACCCACATTTATTAATTTTTTAATGAACATTTCAACTTGAAAAGATTAGTTCATCAGAATTATGAACTGGTTCTGAAAATTCTCATTTGAGGTTTTTTTTTCCATTTTGACACTAATCAAAAGAAATGAAGTTTTTGTATACTATGTAACCACAAATTATAGGTAGAATTTCCATACAGGGTATATTTTCAGGAAAAATCTGCTTAATTTTAATTTGTTGAGGGTTCCATTTTCTAAAGTGAGAGATAAAATGAGAAACAACACAATATTTAAATGAGTATGTAAATGCAGATATGTATGTAAACATATGTGAAGATGAGGATATTTGTAAAGCTGGTCATTTATCATCCACCTGGTCTTTGCTATTATCTATACTTGCCAAACTCTTTAAGCACCTACTGTCATACCTACCCTAACAGGTTTTCCTGTGGGTAAATCTATTACTCACAAGCTAGTTCAACTTTGGGTTGGTAGAAGAGATTAGAAAGCTAGGAGTTCTTGTTTGTGATTTTTCATGGCCTTAATATGTTAATCAATCTCTCTCTCTTTCTCACCCTCTCTCCCTCCCTCCCTCTCTCTACCCCTCTCTCCCCCTCCTCTTAGGTCAGCACATGTGCCTATATCACCCAGAAGGTGGAGTTTGCTGGCATCAGGTAGATATTACATCACTCTTGCCTTATCTGTGCAGTAACTGGGCTACATAAAGCAGTGGAGGCGTATGGATGTCCATATAATAAAATGTGTAAAAGTATAAAATGTTAGATTGTTGGCTGGCCACAGTGGCTCACGCCTGTAATCCTAGCACTTTGGGAGGCCAAGGTGGGCGGATCACGAGGTCAGGAGATCAGGACCATACTGGCTAACACGGTGAAACCCCGTCTCTACTAAAAATACAAAAAATTAGCTGGGCGTGGTGGCGGGCGCCTGTAGTCGCAGCTACTTGGGAGACTGAGGCAGGAGAATGGCGTGAACCCGGGAGGCGGAGCTTGCAGTGAGCCGAGATCACGCCACTGCCCTCCAGCCTGGACGACAGAGCAAAACTCCGTCTCAAAAAAAAAAAAAAAAAAGTTAGATTGTTGTAGCTCAAACAAACCACAAAATGCACTATAGTAGTTTGAGGCTTATTAATGGAAAAAGTTGATGAAGCCCCCTGGCATTCTGTAAAAAAGGAAGTAGAAAAAAAAAAGGAGATAGAGACTCGTAATTTTACAACTGGAAAAACCCTAGATGCACGTATTGAATCATACTTTCTCATTTTACAAATTAGGAAACAGGTTTAGAAACATAAAATGACTGGCACATTGGCTCCTGATTTGTTACCTTTTTAACTATATTGCTGTACTCTTGATTTATTAAAACTATTTCTATATTTTAGTTTGTGAAGAAAAAAGAGACTTTGTGAAATCCCCTTTAAATTCAAAAAGTGGCTGGGTGTGGTGGCTCACACTTGTAATCCCAACACTTTGGGATGCTGAGGTGGGTAGATTGTTGCTTGAGCCCAGGAGTTGAAGACCAGCCTGGGCAACATAGTGAGACCCCATTTCTACAAAAAAATACAAAAATTAGCTGGGTGTGGTGACACACGCCTGTAGTCCAGCTACCCGGGAGGCTGAGAGGTGGGAGGATCGCTTGAGCCTGGGAGGTAGAGGCTGCAGTGAGCTGGGATCACACCACTACACTCCAGCCTGGATGACAGAGCAAGACCCTGCCTCAAAAAAAAAATTCAGAAAGTATTTCAGGTGCGGTGGCTCACACCTGTAATCTCAGCACTTTGAGAGGCCAAGGTGGGCTGAGTGTGCTTGAGCCCCAGGAGTTCAAGACCAGCTTGGGCCACGTGACAAATAGTCTCTAAAAAAAAGAGAAAAAAAAAAAAAACAGCCAGGCATGGTGGTGTGCGACTGTAGTCCCAGCTACTCAGGAGGCTGAGGTGGGAGGATCGCCTGAGCCCTGGGAGGTTGGGGCTGCAGTGAGACATTATCATGCCACTGCACTGCAGCCTGGGTGACAGAGTGAGACTGTCTCAAAAAAAAAAAAAGTACAACATGCACATAATTAAGCATTCAAATAATTCAGAAAGGTATCTCATGAAATATACATTCCTCTCCCCAGAAACAACTTGTTTCTTTCCTGAAATTTACTGTGTACACACAATCATATTTATGTCTTGTTTTTTTGTTTTTTTTTTTCTGAGACAGAGTCTTGCTCTGTCACCCAGGCTGGAGTGCAGTGGTGGGACCTTGGCTGACTGCAGCCTCTACCTCCTGATTTCAAGCAATTATCCTGCCTCAGCCTCGTGAGTTGCTGGAATTACAGTTACCCACCACCACACGTAGCTAATTTTTTTTTTTTTTTTTTGTATTTTTAGTAGAGACGGAGTTTCACCATGTTGGTCAGGCTGGTCTCGAACTCCTGACCTCGTGATCTGCCCACCTTCGACTCCCAAAGTGCTGGGATTACAGGTGTGAGCTACCTCACCCGGCATATTTGTCTTGTTAACTGACTTGTGGTGATCCTAAGCTTGTTCAGTGGGGTCACAGGGTGCAGTGTAGTCCCTCGTTATAAAGATCCCCATCTACTTTTCTTTTTTTTTTTTTTTTTTGAGACAAAGTCTCACTCTGTCGCCCAGGCTGGAGTGCAGTGGTGTGATCTTGTCTCACTGCAACCTCTGCCTCCCAGGTTCAAGCAATTATTCTGCCTGGGCCTCCTGAACTACAGGCACGTGCCACCATGCCCGGCTAATTTTTGTATTTTCAGTGGAGATGGGGTTTCACCATGTTGGCCAGGCTGGTCTCAAACTCCTGATCTCAGGTGATCCCGCCTCCTCAGCCTCCCAAAGCACTGGGATTATAGGCGTTGAGCCACCGCACGCGGCCCCCATCAACTTTTCACCTAATGGTTTCATCCATTGAGGATTGTTGTAAGATGGTGATTTTCTTTCCTTTTTTTGGTGATTTTTTAATTAAGTCATCCCTTCTACATTTATTAGCCAGAATCCTTCTGTAAATAATTTTTCATCATCAACTAGGTCTATTTGACCAGAATGAAATACTGATCCTAAAAAGAAAGAAAGGATAGAGGCTTCATTTTTTCTCCCAAAAAGGGTATTTTGAAACTTGTTGTGGGGAGCCAGGTAAAATGGCTATGGCGTGAGGATCACTTGAGGCCAGGAGTTCAAACCAGCCTGGACAACATAGTAAGACCTCATCTCTACAGAAATAGTAATTTTTAAAAAATTGCTGGTTGGCTCACACCTGTAATCCCAGCACTTTGGGAGACTGAGGCAGGCAGATCACGAGATCAGGAGATCGAGACCATCCTGGGTAACATGGTGAAACCCCATCTCTACTAAAAATACAAAAATCAGCTGGGTGTGGTGGCCTGTGCCTGTAGTCCCAGCTACTCGGGAGGCTGAGGCAGGAGAATCGCTTGAACCAGGGAGTCAGAGGTTGCAGTGAGCCGAGATCACACCACTGCACTCTAGCCTGGTGACAGAGCAAGACTCCGTCACACACACACACACACACACACACACACACACACACACACACACACACACACACACACACACACAGTTAGGACTAGGTGCAGTGGCTCATGCCTCTAATCCCAGCACTTTGGAAGGCTGAGGTGGGTAGTTTGCTTGAGCCTGGGAGTTCAAG
The DNA here is from genome assembly GCF_000001405.40 of Homo sapiens. Lineage (NCBI taxonomy): Eukaryota > Metazoa > Chordata > Mammalia > Primates > Hominidae > Homo > Homo sapiens. The sequence goes on from NC_000022.11 coordinate 31,771,870, forward strand.
ACCAACCTGGCAATATGCTGAAACCCCATCCCTACAAAAAAATACAAAAATTAGCTGGTCATGGTGGCGCTTGTAGTCCCAGTTACTTGGGAGGCTGAGGTGGAAGGATCACCTAAATCCAGGGAGGTTCAAGGCTGTAGTGAGCCTTGATCATTCTGCTGCCTTCTAGCCTGGGTGACAGAGTCAGACTCTGGCTAAAATAACAATAAAAAAAAGAACGGGGGTTGGTGTCAGGGCTCCTCTAGTTTGAGGTACTTGGGAAACAGGTTGGAGGAGCACTGAAGCACAGGTCGATGCTGCAGTGAGCTATTATTGCATTATTGTACTCCAGCCTGGGCAACAGAGTGAGATCCCATCTTTGAAAACAAACAAAAATTTGTTAGCGGGTCAGTGTTCTTTAAAACATCCAAGCAACTAAAGCACAACCCAAGAAGTGACTAAATCTCAAGCAGCACAAAAAATGTAACCAAGGTTTATGCCTCCAGTATCAGCAGATCTCTACTGGATGGGTATCCAGGGTCAGGAAGCCTGGATCTGTATCTGCAGAGCCAGTGTTTAGCCATCACTGTGATTAGTGGTTCGAGTGATGTTGGGTAACTTCGGTAAACCCTTAGTCTTCACATCTGCAAAATGGAGTAGTTGGTTTAGAATATTCTTCTGTCAAGGACCAGTTAATAAATATTTTAGACTTTGTGAGTAGCAATAGATCTCAGGTCTATTGCATATTCTGTGTGTTTCGACCATTTAAAAATGTAACAGCCATTCTTAGCTATGGGCCATATGAAAACAGGAGATAGGCGAGAATTGGCTTGAAGGCTGTATGTAGTTTGCCAGCCTCGGTTTGGAAACCTATTCAGATCTCTCTCATTTTTTTTTCTATTGCTTCCTCTTTTATTTTTAAATTATATATATATTATATATATTATTTCTGAGACAGAGTCTTTCTCTGTTGCCTAGGCTGGAGTGTAGTAGCATGATATCTCCCCACTGCAACCTCTGCCTCCTGGTTTCAAGTGATTCTCCTACCTCAGCCTCCTGAATAGCTGGGACTACAGGAATGCACCACTATGCCCAGCTAATTTTTGTTTTTTTAGTAGACACGGGGTCTTGCCATGTTGGCCAGGCTGGTGTCGAACTCCTGGCCTCAAGTGATCTGCACACGTTGGCCTCCAAAAGTGATGAGATTACAGATGTAAGTCACCACGCCTGGCTGATCTCTTTCTTTTTTAAGTTCTTTGTTTCTCTATGTAAATACCCTCATACACACAGTTCTAGATGGAGAAAAGAAAACCCTGACAGATTGTCACTTTTTAACTTTATTTTTATATATTTATTTCTGAGATGGGCTTCCTCTATCGCCCAGGCTGGAATGCAGTTGTGCCATCATGCCTCACTACAGCCTCAACCTCCTAGGCCCAAGCAATACTCCCACCTCAGCCTCCTGAGTAGCTAGGACTACAAGTGCGTGCCAGCATGCCTGGCTCTTTTTTTGTTTTTGTTTTTGTTTCATTATGGTAGAGACAGGGTCTCACTATGTTCCTCAGGCTGGTTTCCAACTCCTGGGCTCAAACGATCCTCTTGGCTCAGCCCCCTAGAGTGCTGGGATTACAGGTATGAGCCACCGCAGCTGGCCTCTTTTAGACTTTTAAAGATCTGTCCTGATATTTTGCTCAGGCTTGGTTAAATGTAAACTACAGTCTTCTATCTTTTCTCCAGAAGACTTACAGTATTTCTACACTGGATCAAAGGTTACTTTCTTTTGCTGACTTCGTGAATGCCTGAGAAAAAAGATGCTGTGGGCCTCCTGTGAGAAAAATAAAGTATAGTCATTTGTATAGTTAAAGTCATTACAAATGGTCAAATAATTTCCCTGCAATTTAACTTTCAATCTGGTAATAGTTACATAGTTAAGAACACATGAGCCGGGTGTGGTGGCTCACGCCTATAATCCCAGCACTTTGGGAGGCCAAGGTGGGTGGATTACCTGAGGTCAGGGGTTCATGACCAGCCTGGCGAACATGGTGAAACCCTGTCTCTACTAAAAATACAAAATTAGCTGAGCATGATGGCAGGCTCCTGTAATCCCAGCTACTCGGGAGGCTGAGGCAGGAGAATTGCTTGAACCTGGGAGGCAGAGGTTGTGGTGAGCCGAGATCGTGCCATTGCACTCCACCCTGGGCAACAAGAACGAAACCCTGTCTCAAAAAAACAAAACAAAACAACAACAACAACAAAAAATATATATATAGTAGCAAAATCTTGTCTCCTGTTGACTAACATTTTGCTTTTAAAAAATAATGACCTTAAACCCTAGCCTGTTGGATCACATTGTAACTTTTTTTTTTTTTTTTGAGACGAGTCTCACTCTGTCACCTAGGCTGCAGTGCAGTGGCGTGATCTTGGCTCTGCAACCTCTGCCTCCCAGGCTCAAGCAATTCTCCTGCCTCAGCCTCTCAAGTAGCTGGGATCACAGGCACCCGCCACCATGCCTGGCTAATTTTGTGTTTTTAGTAGAGATGGGGTTTCACCATGTTTTTCAGGCTGGTCTTGAACTCCCGACCTCAGGTAATCTGCCTGCCTCGGCCTCCCAAAGTGATGGGATTACAGGCGTGAGCCACCACCTCCAGCCACACCAAGCTTGTTTTAGAGGTCCTGTGAATGTGGGGTTCTGACGATTATAAGCAGAGCTGGCTGGGTGCGGTGGCTCATGCCTGTAATCCCAGCACTTTGAGAGGCTTAAGTGGGCAGATTGCTTGAGTCTGGGAGTTCAAGACCAGCCTAGACAACATGGTGAAACCCCGTCTTTACTGAAAATACAAAAAAATTAGCTGGGTGTGGCTGCTTGTGCCTGTAGTTTCACCTACTTGGGAGTCTGAGGTGGGAGAATCGCTCAAGCCCAAGAATTTGAGGCCACCCTGGGCAACATAGCAAGATAGTAGATACGGGGTTTTACCACGTTGGCCAGGATGGTCTCGATCTCTTGACCTCGTGATCCACCCACCTCGGCCTCCCAAGGTGCTAGGATTACAGGCATGAGCCACCGTGCCTGACCTCCTTATTACAATATTAAAGAAATACAAGTCTCTTCTGAGGTCAGGCTTGTGACACTTGTTCATTCACAGACGTAACTGGGCAAAGGAGTATGAAAAAGCATCCCACTTGGTATAAGCCATGGGCCTGGTCCAGCCTTCTTCATTTTGGCATGGGGTAGACCCAGAGGGATTGATTGATTGTCCAGCATTTCCTAGGTAGCCTGAACTATGACTCATGGTACACAGCATTTTCCTGGCTTTTATCTGATTTTGTCTTCCTTCCTTTTTTTTTTTTGAGACAGAGTTTTACTCTTGTTGCCCAGGCTGGAGTGCAATGGTGCGATCTGAGCTCATTGCAACCTCTGCCTCCCAGGTTCAAGCAATTCTCCTGCCTCAGCCTCCCGAGTAGCTGGGATTACAGGCACCTGCCACCACGCCTGGCTAATTTTTGTGTTTTTAGTAAAGACAGGGTTTCACCATGTTGGCCAGGCTGGTGTCAAACTCCTGACTTCATGATCCACCCACCTCGGCCTCCCAAAGTGTTGGGATTACAGATGTGAGCCACTGCACCTGGCCTTTGTCTTCCTTTTTTATGAGGACTGATTGCTTAGGTGAGGCAGGTTGGGAGAAAGAGTGAAATTGGTAGAAGATAAGGGCTTGAGGTGGTTGGTTGAGGGATGATTGATTACACGGTGCTCAGCTAATAGCTACCACTTTCTCTCCAGGATAGCATTTTGTGTTAATACCTGCTGTAGTTCTAGTTCTTGCTAGTAAACTAATTGAGCACGCCCTATCCTCACACTGTCCTGAACAGTTTCCCCACATTATCTGGTTTAATTTGAAAACAGCTCTGTAGAAGGCTGGGCACAGTGGCTCACACCTGTAAACCCAGCAGTTTGGGAGGCCAAGGCGGGCGGATCACAAGGTCAGGAGTTCGAGACCAGCCTGGCCAACATGGTGAAACCTCATCTCTACTAAAAATATAAAAAATTAGCTGGGCATGGTGGCACGTGCCTGTAATCCCAGCTACTCGGGAGGCTGAGGCAGGAGAATCGCTTGAACCAGGGAGTCAGAGGTTGCAGTGAGCTGAGATCGCACCACTGCACTCCAGACTGGGCGACAGAGCGAGACTACATCTCAAAAAAAAAAAAAAAAAAAAGTGAAAGCAGCTCTGTAAGGCGTAGGCTTCATTGTCTCTTTTGTTTTGTTTGTTTTTTTGTTTTGTTTTTTGCAATAGTCTCACTCTGTTGCCCAGACTGGAGTGCAGTGGTGCGATCACAGCTCACTACAGCCTTGACCTGTGAGGCCCAAGCGATCCTCCTACCTCAGCCTCCTAGGTAGCTGGGACTACAGCATGTGCCACCATACCTGCCTAATTTTTTGTATTTTTTATAGCGACAGGGTCTCACTATGCTACCTAGGCTGGTCTCAAGCTCCTGGGCTCAAGCAATCTGCCAACCTTGGCCTTCCAAAGTGTTGTGATTATAGGTGTGAGTCACCGTGCCCGGCCCATTGTCTCATTTTTAAAGATAATGCCACTGAACCTCATGAATTTACTATGGCCATTCACGTAGTAAGTGTCACTCAGCTGGGATTCTTGCCTAGACCAGTTTCTCTTCAGGCCAGTCAAGTCTGAAAGCCATGCTTTACTTTTTCTACTGTACTATTCACTTTTTTTTTTTTTTTTTTTTTGAGGCTGAGTTGTGCTCTTGTTGCCCAGGCTGGAGTGCAATAACACGATCTTGGCTTACTGCAATCTCTGCCTCCGGGGTTCAAGTGATTCTGCCTCAGCTTCCTGAGAAGCTGAGATTATAGGTACCCACCACCATGCCCATTTAATTTTTTGTATTTTTAGTAGAGAGGGGGTTTCACCATATTGGCCAGGCTGGTCTTGAACTCCTGACCTCAGGTGATCCACCTGCCTTGGCCTCCCAAAGTGCTGGGATTACAGGCATGAGCCACTGCACCCATTCTCGTACTATCTACTTCTTGCCCTCAAAAATGCATGGAGGAAAAAACATCATTCCCAAAAATGTAATACCAAGTTGCTATTAGTTAATTATTATTATTTTTTTTTTTGAGACAGAGTCTCGCTCTGTTGCCCAGGCTGGAGTGCAGTGGTGCGATCTCGGCTCACTGAAACCTCCGCCTCCTGGGTTCAAACGGTTCTCCTGCCTAAGCCTCCCTAAGTAGCTGGGTCTATAGGTGCCACCATGCCCAGCTAATTTTTGTATTTTTAGTAGGGATGGGGTTTCGCTGTGTTGGCCAGGGTGGTCTCGAACTCCTGACCTCAGGTGATTCACCCGCCTCAGCCTCTCAACGTGTTGGGATTATAGGCATGAACCACTGCACCTGGCCCTAAGTTTTTTTTTTTTTTTTGAGACAGTCTCGCTCTGTCGCCCAGGCTGGAGTGCAGTGGCACGATCTCAGCTCACTGCAACTTCCACCTCCTGGGTTCAAGTGATTCTCCTGCCTCAGCGTCCTGAGTAGCTGAGATTACAGGCGCATGCCACCACGCCCAGCTAATTTTTTTTTTTTTTAGTAGAGACATCATTTCACCATGTTGGTCAGGCTGATCTCGAACTCCTGACCTCGTGATCTGCCCTCCGTGGCCTCCCAAAGTGCTGGGATTACAGGCGTGAGCCACCATGCCTGGCCAAGAAGCCCTTCTTTAGACCTATATGTGGACTCCCAGATTAAGAGCCCCTGTTCATATTCAGTATAGTATGAGAGTTCTTTATATTGGATAATCTGTTCACGGAGTTCTCTGGAAATCTGTAACCAGTTAGGTCATTTGAGTATAAGTAGCAGAGCCACCTGAAGTTGCCCCTATTTCTTTTTGGTTTGTTTTATTTTTATTTTTTGAGACGGAATCTCACTCTGTTGCCTAGGATGGAGTGCAGTGGCATGATGTTGGCTCACTACAACCTCTGCCTCGTGACTTCAAGCAGTTCTCCTGCCTTAGCCTCCTGAGTAGCTGGGACTACAGGCATGTGTCACCATGCCCGGCTAAATTTTGGATTTTTAGTATAGATGGGGTTTCACCATGTTGTCCAGGCTGGTCTCGAAGTCCTGACCTCAGGTAATTCGCCCGCCTTGGCTTCCCAAAGTGCTGGGATTACAGGCGTGAGCTATTGCACCAGGCATGTATTGGTTTCATGTAAGACTTGTAATAACTTGTGTGTGTATTCTTTCAGAGCACAGGCTGGTGAACTGTGGGTTAAGAATGAGAAGGTCATGTGTGGCTACATCAGTGAAGATACCAGGGTAAGATTTATAAAATGCTTTTTTGGTTTTATCTCTCCATACTATTATGGCTAAGTCCTAAAATCAAAAATAAAACAAGGGCGGGGCAGGACACCAAGGTGGGCAGATTGCTTTATCCCAGGAGTTCAAGACAAGCCTGGGCAACATGGAGAGACCCACCTGTACAAAAATTAGCCAGGCATGGTGATGGGTACCTCTGGTCCCAGCTATTCAGGAAGCTGAGGTGGAAGAATTACCGGGATCCTAGGAGTTCGAAGCTGCAGTGGGTCATGATTGCATCACTGCACTCCAGCCTGGGCAACAGAGCAAGACCCCATCTCAAAAACAAACAAAAAACACAAACAAACAAAAATCTGCTAAGCTCTTGACAGCTACTCTTTGCCCACATGTAATATCAAGTTCTCCTGAAACTGTTTTACAGTTGGATTTCTCCAGTTTGGAGTTGATCTTCATTTTCTTCTGAAGGGGTCTGTTTAATGTCAAACAGAGAGCTAGAGTATCTGGCCTGCATTATGCCATGCCCACTCATACATAGCAAAAGTTAAGCCCCATGGAAGATCATGTCATAAACATGAAGAGAGACCTTTGCCAATGAACGTTACCCATGCTGGTAAAACTGTATGTCTACCTTTTCTCGTTCCCATCTCCATGCCTTCTCTGAGAGCAGTGGTTTTCAACCAGGGGTGATTTTGCTCCCTTCAGGGGTCTTTTGACAATGTCTAAAGACATATTTGGTTGTCACAACTGAGGGGTTGTGCCATTGGCATCTAGTGAGAATCCTGCTAAACATGCTACACGTCCAGAGCAGGCCTCCAGAGCAAAGAGTTATCTGGCCCAAAATGTTAATATGTTGTGGGGGTTGTCTTGTGCATTGTGGGATGGTTAGCAGCATCCCTGGCCTCTACTCACTAGATGCCAGTATCACCTACCACCCTTCACCCTACAAATCTACAAGTTATGACAGCCAGAAATTTCTCCAGACATGCCAAATGTCCTCTGAAAGGTAAAATCACCCTTGGTTGAGACCCAGTGTATCCTTAGAGGGAACCACTCCATGAACTTCATTTTTGTAATTTCCTATTGTTTACATTGGATGTATTTACATTGTTTGTAAATACATGTATGTTTGTGCGTGTGTGTATACACATGACCCAATTAATTGCCAGAGTGCTCACCATAATCGTGCCTTTGCTTTCCTGCAAAGGTGTCTGAAAAGTGAGACTTAGCTAGTTTATAAATGCTGGGGTGAAGAGTATTCCAGGCAAAGGAAACAATTTTCAGAAGTCAGTGTGGTGGAAGTATTGCAGACAGGTAGGGAGAATGATGTTGGTGAGGAGATAGGCAGGTTCCAGCCAGTTCATGCAGGGCCTTCAAGGTGGTTAGAACCAGTTTAGAGTGTTTCTAAGGAGAATTAGAATCCATTGATGGGTTTTAAGTGGGAGAGTGATACTTGAATTATGCTTTTAAGAGATCACTACTCATTCAGTTGTGTTTTGTTGAATAAAACCCTCCAAATCACCGGCTCTAATGGCCAAAGGTCAACTTTTCTCTGTCATGTAAAAGAAATCATGGATATGTAATTCATGGTTGGTACAATAGTGTCACTATTATTGGCGTCCTTGTGTCTTATTGTTCTGCTATCCTCAGGGTAGGAATTCCATGATCCACCAAGAGCTGATATAATCACCTCCATATTCCAGGCAGAGGAGAGAGGAAGGGAAGAGAGACAAGAGAGGTGTACCTTCCCACCAAGTCAACTTCCTTTATGGACACAACACTTCCATTTAAATCATGATGGCCAGATTTTAGTCACTTGTAGCTGCTGAGGAGGCTGGGAAGTTTTGTCTTTCAGTTGGGTCTCTTGCCTTCCAGAACAGAATCAGAAGAAGGGAAGAATGGATAGGCATTTAGCATTAAGTGCTGCAGCCCTTCTGGCTCTGGTATAGAGAGTTATTTCCAGGGTCAAGAGTAAAAGCAGATAAGTGAGTTAGGAGGCCCGCTATAGTCTAGCAAGAAAATGGTGGTGTGGACTAAGGTGAGAGCTATAACAATGGAAGGATGTGGGCAGGTATGAGACACATTTCTGGATAGGGTCCACAGAACTTGCTCATAGATTGGATGTGAGGAGTGAAGGAAAGAGAAGTACTGAAGAGCTAGGTAGATGGTGGTGCCATTTATGAGATGGGGAAGACAGGGAAGAAGCAGGTTGGGGAGATTAGGAAGCTCTGTTTGGGAAAAGTCTTTTGGATGCCTGAGTGGAGGAATCACTGGAGGCAGTTGAGTCTGGAGTTCTCGTAATCACTTCTCCCATGTGTTGTTCCCCACTGCCCCCCAGTGTCCTCGCCACGCAAACCACTCATTGTTCCCCAACATGCCACCTTCTCTCTTGCCACCATGTCTTCGCACATGCTGCCCTCTGTATCCTAGGGTGCCTAGACCCTGCCTTTCCCCTTCCCAAGCCACTCATCCAGGTCTCAGCTCTAGTCTCAGGATTCCCTGCTTCTGGAGAGCCTTCCTGGTCCACCAGGCTGGAAGTACCTCCATGGCACCCTGGATCTGTGCACTCATTAGCAGTTCCCACACTGCAGTAGGTGCGCTTGCTTGTGTGCCATGTCACTGGACTGTGTGCGCCCTCAGAGCAAGGACTGCATCTTTAACCTTTATATGCCACTGTTCTCTGGCATGTCTACTGGCACCTAGTAGTCTCTCAAATGTTGGTGGAGTGAAATATTAGATAGGCTCCCCTGCCTCAAGAATTCATCATCTGGGCCGGGCGCGGTGGCTCACGCCTGTAATCCCAGCACTTGGGAGGCCGAGGCAGGTGGTTCACCTGATGTCGGGAGTTTGAGACCAACCTGACCAATATGGAGAAACCCCGTCTCTACTAAACATACAAAATTAACTGGGCTTGGTGGTGCATGCCTGTAATCCCAGCTACTTGGGAGGCTGAGGCAAGAGAATCTCTTGAACCCGGGAGGCAGAGGTTGCGGTGAACCAAGATCGCGCCATTGCACTCCAGCCTGGGCAACAAGAGCGAAACTCGGTCTCAAAAACAAACAAACAAACAAAAAAAAAAAAACAAAGAATTTATTATCTGATTAGAGAAACAAGACTTTCAGGTTTTCCATTAAATTAATTATTTTTGAGATTGGGGTCTTGTGTTATTCAGGGGTCCTTCCTGGGCTCCAGCAGTCCTTTTCAGTATCTGGGATTATAGGCACATGCCACCACACCAATCAGAAAAACATGAGTTTATTTATTTATTTATTATTATTTTTTATTGAGATGGAGTCTCACTGTGTTGCCTAGGCTGGAGTGCAGTGGCGTGATCTCGGCTCACTACAACCTCCGCCCCCGGGGTTCAAGCGATTCTCTTGCCTCAGCCTCCTGAGTAGCTGGGACTACAGGCATTTGCCACCACACCTGGCTTTTTATATTTTTAGTAGAGATGGGGTTTCACCATGTTGCCCAGGCTGGTCTCGAACTCCTGACTTCAAGTGATCTGCCCACATCAGCCTCCCAAAATGTTGGGATTACAGGCATGAGCCACCACACCTGGCCAAAAAAATATTAAATAAGATGGAGCTGAACATGGTGGCTCACGCCTGTAATCCCAGGACTTTGAGAGGCCGAGGTGGGGGGGATTGCTTGAGCCCAGGAGATTGAGACCAGCCAGGGCAACAGAGGGAGACCCCATCTCTAAAAAGAAAAATTTAGCCAGGGGTAGTGGCCCACACCTATAATCTCAGCTACTTGGGAGGCTAAGGCAGGATGATCACTTGAGCCCAGGAGTTTGATGTTGCAGTGAGCTATGATGGTGCCACTGCACTCCTACCTGGGAGACAGAGTGAGACCTTGTCTCTATGAACAGACAGACAAAAACAACTTTAATTATTAAGAACCTTGCATATTTATTATGATAACATTTAGACAATATAGCCTATATTTCTGTTCATTTCTCTGAAAAAAATTTTTTTTTTTTTTTTTGAGGTGGAGTCTCACTCTGTTGCCCAGGCTGGAGTGCAGTGGTATGATCTTGGCTCACTGCATCCTCAGCCTCCCGGATTCAAGCGATTGTCCTGCCTCAGCCTCCCCAGTAGCTGGGATTATAGGCGCTCACCACCATGCCTGGCTAATTTTTGTATTTTAGTAGAGATGGGGTTTCACCATGTTGGCCAGGCTGGTCTCCAGTTCCTGACCTCAGGTGATCCACCTGCCTCAGCCTCCCAAAGTGCTGGGATTATGGGTGTCAGCCATCGTGCCCGGCCAGGAGCTTCAGTCTTTAAGGAGCAGGTCTCTGATGAACTAAAGGAGTGTTAAGAGATTTACATTTTACGTTCCCTCTAAACTTCTTTAGAGCCTTGTGGAGCAAAGGCTCTGTGGTATAGCACACAGGGCTAGAAAACCACTTTTGCTTTTCCTTGAGGCAGTCTGAGTGTAGTGGAAGTACAATGTGAATTATAATTTATTAGACTGGCAACTCATCACCTGGCACATCTTAGCCCAAGTTCTGTCTCCGTAATGAGATTTCCATAACTTTCCTAGGTAGATTCACTGCCCTTTCTCCTGCATTTCATGTGTAAATCTTCATAGAACCTTTGTATATGTTGCAGTGTTCTGCATGTTTTTATCTTGTACTGTAAGCTCCTGGAGGGCAGGGACCAGATCTTATTTTCACTGTCTCTGAAACAGGGCTCAGAGTTAAGAGCTCAGTAACTATTTAAATGAAACAAAGAATGCTCGGATGAAGTTTGCTTTTAGAAGTCCCAAGTCATGGCCCCGAGCTGTGGCTCATGCTTATTCCCAACACTTCAGGAGGCAAAGGTGGTGAGAGGTGAAGCCAGCTGGACTTCCTGGGTCGAGTGGGGACTTGGAGAACTTTTCTGTCTAGCTAGAGGATTGTAAATGCACCAATCAGCGCTCTGTGTCTAGCTAAAGGATTGTAAATGCACCAATCAGCACTCTGTAAAATGGAACAATCAGCGCTCTGTAAAATGGACCAATCAGCAGGACATGGGTGTGGACAAATAAGGGAATAAAAGCTGGCCACCCCAGCCAGCAGCGGCAGCCCAGGTCCCCTTCCACATGGAAGCCTTGTTCTTTTGCTCTTCACAATATATCTTGCTGCTGCTCACTGTTGGTGAGCAAAGGTGGTCCGTGCCACCTTTAACAGCTGTTAACACTCACCATGAAGGTCCGCAGCTTCATTCTTGAAGTCAGTGAGACCAAGAACCCACCTGAAGGAACCACCTCCGGACACGGTGTGAGGATTGCTTGAGCCCAGGAGTTTGAAACCACTCTGGGCAACGTAGGGAGACCCCCTCTCTACAAAAAAATACAAAAATTTTGTGGCCTGGTGGTGCACTCCCATAGTTCCAGCTACTCGAGAGGCTGAAGTGGGAAGATCGTTTCATCCTGGAGCCTGGGAGTTTGAGGCTGCAGTGAGCTGTGATTGTGTCACTGCACTCCAGCCTTGGGTGGCAAGAGTGAGATCCTGTCTCAAAACAAAGGAAAAAAAGAAGTCCAACATTGCAAGATTCTTTTATCATTGCTTTAAAAAAAATTGTGGTTAAAAAGCCTATCATAAAATTTACCATCTTAACCATTTTTAAGTGTATAGTTCAATAGTGTTAAGAACATTTACACTGTTGTGAAGCAGATCTTCAGAACTTTTTCATCTTATAGAACTGAAACTGTATATGGCATTGCTTTTTAATACAATTGTGTTTTTATTTCAGGTGGTGTTTCGTTCTACGTCGGCTATGGTTTACATATTTATTCAGATGAGCTGTGAAATGTGGGATTTTGATATTTATGGTACTGTGTCTATGTGCTGATTGTAACTGCTAAGGGGAGAATTTTCTGGAACTGCAAATGCTAATTCATGAATGCCCAGGGTCCCCCACATCATCTTCTAACAAACTTTAAATATCATTGTGAGAATAATCATATTTGGAGGTTAGAGTGTTTTCTCGTTCTAAAGATACACTACTTTTTTCAATAATCAAATTTTTTTCAAACTGCATTGTATGTTGAAGTCATAGCCTCTTAGTAGTGAGGCAGATATTAAATTTGGCTTCAAAAAATAAAGAAATAAATAAACTTGGCTTCTTAGTTTGAGAATGAAACCACTTTGTACATCTGGCTTTTATGATCTTGTTTTAAGATGTACAAAACAGGCCGGGCACAGCGGTTCATGCCTGTAATCCTAGCACTTTGGGAGGCTGAGGTGGGCGGATCACCTGAGGTCAGGAGTTGGAGACCAGCCTGACCAACATCGGGAAACCCCATACCTACTAAAAATACAAAAATTAGCTGGGCTTGGTGGTGGGCGCCTGTAATCCCAGCTACTCAGGATGCTGAGGCAGGAGAATCGCTTGAACCTGGGCGGCAGTGAGCCAGTATCATGCCACTGCATTCCAGCCTGGGAGACAAAGTGAGACTCCCATCTCAAAAAAAAAAAAAAAAGATGTACAAAATACACCTTCTTTTTGGTCCCCTTTCTTATAGAAGAAGTTGCAAGCAGTTTACTTAGGGAATTGCTTAGAGAAGAATTTACTTAGAGAAGAAATTAGAGAAGAAATTGCAAGCAAGAAATAAAGATTGTTCTCATGTTCTCATCCTTTTTTCATTGTTTCTTTTCAGGGGATTTGTATTTTGAGAAAGCTGTGAATGGTTTCCTTGCTGATCTATTTACCAAGTGGAAGGTACATTTCTTCTTACACACTAAGTCTCATTATGTAAACATTACTCAATCAGATTTTTAAAATGCACTGTTTTTATTAAATTGCCCTAAATTGAGCTATTTTAGGTAAAACCCGGACTCCAGATTTAAATTACCCTAATAATCTCAATTTATGAGAATTTATGAAAAACACAAAGCTAACATCACACTCAATGGTAAAAGACTGAAAACTTTCCCCCAAGATCAGTAACAAGGTAAGTATGCTTGCTTTTGCCACTGATATTCAACATTATACTAACTAGAAGTTCTAGACAGACCACCTAGGCAAGCAAAAGAAATAAAAGGCATCCAAATCGAAAAAGAAGTACAACTATTTCTATTCACAGATAATATGATCCTATATGTAGAAAATCCTCAAACTCCACAAAGTAAGTATTAGAGCTAATGCATTCAGCAAAGTTTCAGGATACCCAATCAACACACAAAATCAATTGTATTTCTATATACCAGCAATAAACAATCTGAAAGAATAAAATACTTAGAATACTTTACCCTAGGAGCTGTAAGACTGGTCCACTAGAATCTATAAAACACTGTGAAAGGAGTTAATGAAGACCTAAGTAAATAGTAAGATAACCTGTGTTCACAGGTTGAAAGACTTAATATTGTGAATTTGGCAATACTACCCAAAGCAGTTTACAGGTTAATGCAGTTCCTATCAAAATACCAGTGCCTTTTTTTTTTTTTTCTGATCCTAAAATTTATGTGGAATTGCAAGGGATCCTGAATAGCTAAAACAATCTTGTAAAAGGGGAACGAAGTTGGAGGACTCTCACTTCCTAATTTCAAAACTTACTAAAACCCTCAGTCATCAGAATAGTGTGATATTGGCATAAGGATAGATATATAGATCAATGGAATTGAATTGAAACCAACCCGTACATCTATGGTCAGTTGATTTTAGACAAGGGCATCAAGTTCATTTAATGAGAGAAAGAATATTCTCTTCAACAAATTATTCTGGAACAACTGAATGTCCATATGGAAAAGAACGAATTTGGACCCTCACCTCAAATCATATATGAAATGTAACCAAAGTGAATCAAAGACTTAAATATAAGAGCTAAAGTCATCTGGGTGCGGTGGCTCATACCTGTAATCTCAGCACTTTGGGAGGCCGAGGTGGGCGGATCAGGAGTTTGAGACCAGTCTGGCCAACGTCATGAAACCCTGTCTCTACTAAAAATACAAAAATTAGCCAGGCGTGGTGGTTGGTGCCTGTAATCCCACTACTCAGGAGGCTGAGACAGGAGAATCGCTTGAACCTGGGAGGCGGAGGTTGCAGTGAGCCAAGATTATGCCACCGTACTCCAGCCTGGGCAACAGAGTGAGACTCCATCTCATAAATAAATAAATAAAGAGCTAAAATTATAAAACTGAGCCAGGTGTGGTGGCTCATGGGAGGCGGAGGTGGGCAGATTGCATGAGCCCTGGAATTGCAGACCAGCCCCAGCAATATGGAAAACTTTGTCTCCACAAAAAATACAAAAAGTTAGCTGGATGTGGTAGCTAAAAAAAAAAAAAAAAAAAAAGGGAAAAAATTTTCCTTATGTTTAAAAGTTTTATTTTTATTTTATTTATTTATTCTTTTTGAGATGGAGTCTCACTCTGTTGCCCAGGCTGGAGTGCAGTGGTGCAATCTCAGCTCACTGCAACCTCCGCCTCCCAGGTTCAAACAACCTAAAAAAAAGAACTGAATTTTTTTTTAAGAGACAGGGTTTTGCTCTGTCCTGTCACCCAGGTTGGAGTGCAGTGGTACAATCATACTGTAACCTGAAATTCCTGTGCTCAAGGGATCCTCTTGCCTCAGCTTCTTGAGTGGTTGGGACTATAGGCATTTGCCAACACAGCCAGCTAAAATTTTTGTTTTTATTTTTGTAGAGACAGGGTCTCGTTTTGTTGCCCGGGCTACTCTTTAACTTTTGTTTTCAAGTGATTCTCCCACCTGCCTCAATTCTCCACCTGTTCAGTTCTCCTGCCTCACCCTCCTGAGTAGCTGGGATTACAGGTGCCCGCTACCATGCCCAGCTAATTTTTTGTATTTTTACTAGAGACAGGGTTTTACCATGTTGGCCAGGCTGGTCTTGAACTCCTAACCTCAGGTGATCCGCCTGCCTCGGCCTCCCAAAGTGTTGGGATTACAGATGTGAGCCACCGTGCCTAGCCTAAAAAGTTTTATAATTTTTTTTTTTGAGACAGGGTCTCACTGTCACCCAGGCTGGAGTGCAGTGGAGCGATCATGGCTCACTACAGCTTTGACCTCCTGAGCTCAAGTGATTCTCCTGCCTTAGCCTTAGTAGCTGAGACTACAGGCATTTGCTACCACACCTAGCTAATTTTTTGTGTTTTTTTATAGAGATGGGGTTTTGCCATGTTGCCCAGGCTGGTCTCAAACCCCTGAGCTCAAGCGGTCACCCACCTTGGCCTCCCAAATTGCTAGGATTACAGATAGAACCACCATGCCTGGCTGGGAAATTCATATAACCTTGAATTTGGCAGTGGTTTCTTAGATATAACACCAAAAGCACGGCATCCAAATTAAAAGCAGTTGAATCAGACTTCAAAATTAAAAACTTTTGTGCATCAACGGACATTGTCAAGAAAGTAAAGAGGCCAGACCTGCTGGCTCACACCTTTAATCCCAGCACTTTGGGAGGCTGAGGTGGGAGAATCGTGTGAAGCCAAAAGTTCGAGTAACCCAGACAACAAAACGAGACCCTGTCTCTACAAAAATAAAAATAGAAAAAAATTAGCTGGCTGCATTGGCAAATGCCTCTAGTCTCAGCTACTCAAGAGGCTGAGGCAAGAGGATCCCTTGATCACAGGAATTTGAGGTTACAGTATGATTGTACCACTGCACTCCAACCTGGGTGATAGGACAGAGCAAGACCCTGTCTCTTTAAAAAAAAAAAAAAAAGAAGAAGAAAAAAGAAGACAACCCACAGAATGGGAGAAAATATTATTTGCAAATTATTTTCTGATAAAAGTCTGTTATCCAGAAAATATGTAGAACTTCTGTAACTCAAGAACGAAAAGAAAAAACCCTAATTGACAAATGGGCAAAGGCTGCCCCATTCACCATGATGTGATTATTTCACATTACATGCCTGTATCAAAACATCTCATGTACCCCACAGATATTAAACACCTACTATGTACCCATAAAAATTAAAAAATAATTAAAATAATTAAAAAAACAAATGGGCAAAGGACTTGAATCAACATTTCTCTAAAGAATATACATGAATGTCCAACAAGTACATGAAAAGATGCTCAAGATCATTAGTCATTAGGAAAATGCAACCTAATACCACAATGAAATGCCACTTCACACCCACTAGGATGACTGTATTTTTTTTTTTTTTTTTTTTTTTTTTTGAGACAGAGTCTCGCCATGTTGCCCAGGCTAGAGTGCAGTGGCGCAATCATAGCTCACTGCAGCCTTGATCGCCTGGGCTCAAGCCATCCTCCCTCCTCAGCCTCCTATAGTAGCTAGGACTACAGGCATGTGCCACTATGCCCGGGCAATTTTTTTTTTTTTTTTGGTGGAAACTAGGTCTCACTATGTTATCCAGGCTGATCTCGAACTCCTGAGCTTAAGTGATCTTCCCACCTTGGCCTCCCAATGTGCTGAGATTACAGACGTGAGCTACAGTGCCTAGCCCATATTTTTTTTTGAGACAGAGTTTTGCTCTTGTTGCCCAGGCTGGAGTACAATGGTGTGATCTCGGCCCACTGCAACCTCTGCCTCCCGGGTTCAAGCAGTTCTCCTGCTTCAGCCTCCCGAATAGCTGAGATTACAGGCGCCCACCACCACGCCCATCTAATTTTTTTGTGTTTTTAGTAGAGACGGGGTTTCACCATGTTGGCCAGGGTGGTCTCGAACTTCTGACCTCAGGTGATCCGCCCGCCTTGGCCTCCCAAAGTGCTGGGATTACAGACGTGAGCCTCCGCGACTGGGCCCATATTCTTTATTTTATTTATTTATGTATTTTTAGAGACAGTCTCGCTCTGTCGCCCAGACTGGAGTGCAGTGCTGCGATCTCGAACATGGCTCACTGCAACTTCCACCTCCCAGGTACAAGCGATTCTCGTCCCTCAGCCTGCCAAGTAGCTGGGATTATAGGTGTGCGCCACCTTACCCTGCTAATTTTTGTATTTTTAGTAGTGATGTGGTTTCACCATGTTGGCCAGGCTGGTCTCGAACTCCTGGCCTTAAGTGATCTCCCCACCTTGGCCTCCCAAAGTGCCGGATTATGGGCCTAGCCCGTATTCTTGACAGCATTATTCATATTAGCTAAAAAGTAGGATAACACAAATAACAAATGTCTGTCAGCTAAAGCATAGATAAATAAAATGTATATCCATACAATGTAGTATTATTCTGCTATAAAGAAGAATGAAGTACTAACACATGCTACAGCATAGATGAATCTTGAACACATGTTAAGTGAGAGAAGCCAGACATAGTGGATCAAATACAAATCATAAGATCTTATTTATATGAAATGTCCAGAATAGGTAAATATATAATATAGAGATTAGTGGTTGCCAGGGACTGAGGGTGGGGAGTGACTGTTTCATCAGTTTGGGATTTCCTGTTGGGGTGATGAAAATGTTTTGGATCCAAATAATGGTGATAGTTATACAACATTGTGAATGTATTAAATGTCACGATGGCAATATTTATATGTATTTTGCCACAATTAAAAAATTATTTCATTCGATTATCTCACCTTGATTTCACATGAAAACATTTTGATGAAAAAGTATTTGAAGTCACATTATGTAGTGTAAAAGAGTAGAGTTTGGATTAAGGCAGACTGGGTTTTAAATGATCTCATCAGCTTGCTTTTTTTTTTTTCTTTTTTGATTAAGAGACAGAGTCTTGCTATGCTGCTTAGGCTGGTCTTGAACTCCTGGGCTCCAGGGATCTTGTCACTTCATCCTCCTCAGTAGTTGGGACTACAGGCGCAGGCCACCATGCCTGGCTGATTAGCTTTTTGGTCTCCAAGGATTAGTCTCTGAGGCTCCATTTCTTCAGCTGCAAAATGGAGATAATAATAGACCCTCTCACCACATCACTTATGAGTTGAGACACTCCATGCCCATATCAGCCCATTGTGAGCCCGTTGTGTTTTCCTGTATATCACTTGCACTAAAATTAGATAAGGGTGCTGATTTTGGAGCTCTTGGACTCCCGTGAATTAATTGGCAGTCAGTGAAGGTCTGCTGTTTCCTAGCACTCTGCTCTGGGTACTGTGGCTTGTATTTAGGAATTTCTGTCCACTTGAGATACATCCATGAAATGTACATTATATTATGTGCCTTATATAGTGAGTGTTGAATTCTGTAGTCACTAAGCATACTTAAGATAAAGATGGGGTTGGTCAGTATAGGCTGTTGTCTTCAGAGACCCAGGAGGAACTGAAACTGCGCTTGCTAGCTAACTGTTGCAAGCCACTTTTGATGTTCATCTGTAAACACCCTACTTCTAGGATATTGATCTCCAGACTCCATGGAAATGTTTATTCTCATTAGTCCCTGTCCCTGTCCAAAGGTAGTTCTTTGCCTTGGCTTATACCGCTGAGTCCAGAGCAAACCCCACCCTCATCCTATGAGACTAGTAGGGTGTGGGAGTGCCTTTGATTCTTAAATCCACCACCATGGGTGCTGTTCTTGTTCCCTAGACCACAATTCTGCAGAAATTAAAAAACACTGTAGGCCTGGCATTGTGGCTCACGCCTGTAATCCCAGCACTTTGCCAAGGCAAGTGGATCACTTGAGCCCAGCCTGGGGATTATGATGAAACCCTATCTCTCTTTTTTTTTTTCTTTTTTTTTTTTTTTTTGAGACGGAGTCTCGCTCCGTCGCCCAGGCTGGAGTGCAATGGCACAGTCTTGGCTCACTGCAGTCTCCACCCCCTGGGTTCAAGTGATTATCCTACCTCAGCCTCCTGAGTAGCTGCAATTTCAGGCGCGTGCCACATTGCCTGGGTAATTTTCCTACTTTTAGTAGAGATGGAGTTTCGCCATGTTGGCCAGGCTGGTCTCGAACTCCTGACCTCAGGTGATCCACCCGCCTCAGCCTCCCAAAGCACCGGGATTGCAGGTTTGAGCCACCACGCCCAGCCGAAACCCTGTCTTTATAAAAAATGCAAAAATTATCTGGGCCTGGTGACGCGTGTCTGTAGTCCAGCTACTCGGGAACTGGGAGACAGTCACCATTACTTAATGCTGATTTGCAGTTTTCCAATCACTTTCCACATTCCTGGCACTTTAGATAACTTTCCTAAAGTCACATAGTGGCAAGTTTCAGGTTCAGGACTCCATCTAGGGCTTCTGACTCCCAGCAGTGCTCTGTCCCCTGCACTGCAGCCTATAATTACCTGAAGCTATTCAATACTGTGCACTGCTGCTGAGCCACCTGGATTAAGAATATTATGTGCAGCTGGGCCTCACACCTGTAATCCCAGCACTTTGGGAGGCCGAGGCAAGCAGATCACTTGAGGCCATGAGTTCGAGACCAGCCTGGCCAACATGGTGAAACCCTGTCTCTACTAAAAATACAAAAATTACCCAGGTGGCCCACCTGTAATCCTAGCTACTCTGGAGGCTGAGGCAGGAGAATTGCTTGAACCTGGGAGGTGGAGGCTGCAATGAGCCGAGATTGTGCCACTGCACTCCAGCCTGGGCAACTGAATGAGACTGCCTCAAAAAAAAAAAAAAAAAAGGGCTGGGCACAGTGGCTCACACCTGTAATCCCAGCACTTTGGGAGGCCAAGGCAGGCGGATCACGAGGTCAGGAGATCGAGACCATCTTGGCCAACATGGTGAAACCGCATCTCTACTAAAAATACAAAAATTAGCTGGGCATGGTGGCGTGCGTCTGTAGTCCCAGCTACTTGGGAGGCTGAGGCAGGAGAATTGCTTGAACCCAGGAGGCGGAGGTTGCAGTGAGCCAAGATAGCGCCACTGCACTCCAGCCTGGTGGCAGAGTAAGACTCCGTCTCAAAAAAAAAAAAAAAAAAAAAAAAAAGAATATTATATGCATGCAGTCTGCTTCATAGTGAAGTAAATGAAACAAACTTCAACCCTGTTGTTCTCTACTCATGCTTAGGAGAAGAACTGTAGTCATGAAGTGACAGTGGTCCTGTTTTCTAGAACTTTCTATGATGCAAAATCTGTTGGTGAGTAACTATTTCTCTCCTACAGTTATGTTTTTGTTAAGCTTCCCCCAACCCCACCCCAGCCATTTCCTTTCATTTTTTTCCTCGTTGCACTTTTCCACCCTTCCCATCTTTTCTGTTATGGGGACAGTGTAAAAGGGAAAGTAGCACAGTCCGTTAGTGGATGCAAGAGGTCTGTGGGCTGTGATTCATCTTAAAACCAACTTAATAGATAGACAGTTGGCTGGGTGCAGTGGCTCACGCCTGTAATCCCACGACTTTGGGAGGCTGAGGTGGGCGGATCACCTGAGGTCAGGAGTTGAAAACCAGCCTGGCCAACATGGTGAAACCCCATCTCTACTAAAAATACAAAAATTAGCCAGGTGTGGTGGCATGCACCTGTAGTCCCAGCTACCCAGGAGGCTGAGAAAGGAGAGTCGCTTGAATTCAGGAGGTAGAGGTTGCAGTGAGCTGAGATCTTACCACTGCACTCCAGTCTGGGTGACAGAGTGAGACCTTGTCTCAAAAAAAAAAAAAAAAAAAAAAAAAAAGACAGTTATCTTTATTTTTTTGTGATGCAAATCTTTAACCCAGAAGAGGAAGCTGACAAAACTGAATTTCTCTTCTCAGCCTGAACTACATACTCCGTTTTCTCTATTTCAGATGAATTTCCTGAAATAAACCGAGCCTCAATTCGACAGGATCACAAGGGGAGATTCTATGAAGACTTTTACAAGTATGTTTGGGTGCTTTGCTATACTTTTTATTTATTTATTAGTTGTTTCTTTCCTAACTTAAAAATAAGTCAGCCT
Source organism: Homo sapiens (assembly GCF_000001405.40). Classification (NCBI taxonomy): domain Eukaryota; kingdom Metazoa; phylum Chordata; class Mammalia; order Primates; family Hominidae; genus Homo; species Homo sapiens. Next base: position 31,792,894 of record NC_000022.11, read on the forward strand.
GGGCAACATGGCGAAACCCTGTCTCTACCAAAAATACAAAAAATTCGCCTCTTGTGGTCCCAGCTACTTGGGAGGCTGAGGTGGGAGGATCACTTGAGCCTGGGAGGTGGAGGTTGCAGTGAGCTGAGATCACACCACTGCACACCAACCTGGGAGAGAGTGAGACCCTGTCTCCAAAATAAATAAATAAATAAATAAATAAATAAACCTTTTAATTTTGTAATTGTAATGATTTTAGATTTACAGAGAAGTTTCAAAGATAACACAGTTCCTGCATGGTCTTTGCTCTGTTTCCTCTAATATTAACATTTCATAACCAAGTTACATTTGTCAAAACTAGGTTAACATTGGTACATTACTATTAAGGAAATTCAGATGTTTTTTAGATTTTAGCACTCGTACTTGCCGTCTCCAAGATATCATGTTGCATTTAGACCTTCTAAATGTTTTATTGTGAAAAATTTCAACATTCAGAGAAGAAGAGCAAATAATATAATGAGCCCGTATACCCAATACCTGAATTTAACAGTTATTATTTTGTCATATTTGATTCATCTGTTTTTTTCAGTGCCATTGACTAAGTAAATTATCAATATTGTAATATTTTATTTCTATACATATTCAAAAAAGGCATTTTTATATCTGACCACAATATCATGATCATGTTTAACGTTATTATTATTATTATTATTTTTTGAGACACAATTTCACTCTCTCGCCCAGGCTGGAGTGCAGTGGTCATGTAAGCTGACTGCAAACTCCGCCTCCCAGGTTCAAGGGATTCTCGTTTCTCAGCCTCCCGAGTAGCTGGGACTACAGGCGCCCGTGACCACGCCTGGCTAATTTTTTTGTATTTTTAGTAGAGATGGGGTTCGCCATGTTGGCCAGCCTGGTCTCAAATCCTGACCTCAGCTGATCCACCCACCTCGGCCTCCCAAAATGCTGGGATTACAGGCGGGAGCCACCATGCCTGGCTGACACCACTATCTAATTGAGATGATTATCAGATAGTAATAGTTACTGTTTTTACGGGACTTAGCATGAATGGGTTACTCTTCTAAGCACTTTACATGACTTGATTTATTTAAATATCACAGCATCCCTGTGGGATAGATACTGTTACCCCATTTTACAGATGTGGAAATTTGGACACAGAGTTTCAGTAACTTATCCAAAGTCCACACAATATTAAGTGGTGGAGCATGGACCTGACACAGTCAATCTAGTTCAGAGTCGATGCTTTTTGACCACTGTATTCCTCAACCTCATACAGATTATACTTTAAATTATTTGTTGATCTTTTGTTGGATCCTGTACCCCTAGGAGAATTTTATGAGAGTGATGGGCCATCTGCTGTACTGACACCTCCACTCATCCCCTTATGCAGATGAATTCTGCATTCCTCTAATTCAGTGAATTCCAGGAACCATGAGAGCTCTTCTGACTTAACAGTATATGCAGTTTTATCTGTATAATGAATATGAATTAATTTGAGCATGATCAGTTATACAAAATACTATATAAAGCATGAATATGAATATATGAATTATGAATGTAGATTTATAGGTGTATATGACTATATATTTTTAATATATGAAAGTTTATGTCATTAAAAAGTCATCCTCAACGTTTTTTAGATTGAGAGAAACTGGTTATCTTTTTCTTACTGCAAAAACAATACAGGTTCATTTTAGGAAAATCACAAAATAGGCCAGGCGTGGTGGCTGATACCTATAATCCCAGCACTTTGAGAGGCCAAGCCAGGCACATTGCCTGAGCTCAGGAGTTTGAAACCAGCCAGTGCACCATGGAAAACCCTGTCTCTACAAAAAAATACCATAACTTAGCTGGGTGCAGTGGTGCGCGCCTGTAGTTTCAGCTATTTGGGAGGCTGAGGTGGGAGGATCACTTGAGCCTGGGAAGTTGAGGCTGCAGTGAGCCAAGATCATGCCACTGCACTTTAGCCTGGGTGACATAGTGAGACCCTGTCTCAAAAAAAACAAAACAACAACAACAAAAGCACACCAGTATAGTTTAGTAGAGAGGAATTCAAAGCACACTCAATTCCATCTACCAAATATAGTCTTCATTACTTTGGTGAATCAACCCCTATTATCTGTATTTAGGAGAAAAATTAGTTTTCATAGAGATGTGATCACACATTCCATGTGATTTTTTTTTTTTTTTTTTTTTTTGAGATGGAGTATCACTCTGTTGCCCAGGCTGGAGTGCACTAGCGTGATCTCAGCTCACTGCAACTTCCGCCTCCCTAGTACAAGCAATTCCCTGCCTCAGCCTCCGGAGTAGCTGGGATTGCAGGCATCTGCCATCACACCTGGCTAATTTTTTTATTTTTAGTAGAGACGGGGTTTCACCATCTTGGCCAGGCTGGTCTTGAACTCCTGACCTCAGGTGATCCACCGCCCTCAGCCACCTAAAGTGCTGGGATTACAGGCATGAGCCACTGCGCTGGGCCTCCATGTGATTTTTTTACATGTTTTATTGTTTTTATTTCTTTTTGAGACAGTGTCTCACTGTCACCCAGGCTGGAGTGCAGTGGTGCAATCTCAACTCACTGCAAACTCCGCCTTCCAGGTTCAAGCAATTCTCCTGCCTCAGCCTCCTGAGTAGCTGGTGTGACAGGCACCCGCCACCATGCCTGGTTAATTTTTGTATTTTTAGTAGAGACAGGGTTTCACCATGTTGGCCAGGCTGGTCTCGAACTCCTGACCTCAGGTGATCCGCCTGCCTTGGCCTCCCAAAATGCTGGCATGAGCCACCACGCCTGACCCATATGGTTCTCTTTTTATATGTTTTAAACCTTCATTTTCTTTCATTTCCTTTTTTTTTTTTTGAGTCGGAGTTTCGCTCTTGTTGCCCAGTCTGGAGTGCAATGACACGATCTCAGCTCACTGCAACCTCCGCCTCCCGGATGCAAGCGATTCTCTTGCCTCAGCCTCTCGAGTAGCTGGGATTACAGGCATGTGCCACCACACCTGGCTGATTTTGTATTTTTAGTAGAGATGGGGTTTCTCCATATTGGTCAGTCTGATCTCAAACTCCCGACCTCAGGTGATCCCCCCACCTTGGCCTCTCCAAGTGCTGGGATTACAGGCGTGAGCCACTGTGCCCGGCCATAAACCTTCATTTTCTATTTACTGTATCACAAATGCCAATCCATGTTAAACACACTGCTCCACAGTATCTTTTTTTTTTTTTTTTTTTGAGGCGAAGTCTCGCTCTGTCGCCCAGGCTGGAGTGCAGTGGTGGGATCTTGGCTCACTGCAAGCTCTGCCTCCCAGGTTCACGCCATTCTCCTGCCTCAGCCTCCTGAGTATCTGGGACTACAGGTGCCTGCCACCACACCCGGCTAATTTTTTTTGTATTTTTTAGTGGAGACAGGGTTTCACCGTGTTAGCCAGAATGGTCTCTATCTCCTGACCTCATGATCTGCCTGCTTAGGCCTCCCAGAGTGCTGGGATTACAGGCGTTAGCCACTGCCTGGCCCACTGTATCATTTTTTATTTCTACATAGAAATTACATTGGGTTACTATTGTTGAAAATTGAGGTGACTTCCAGCTTTTCACTATTCTCAACAGTATTGCCAGTGAACATTTTTACAGATAGGTTTTTAAGCATATCCTTAGTTTTTATGATAAATTGCCAGAAATGGAGCCATTAGGTCAAAGGATAGTCTGTGTTTTCAAGGCTTTCTATTTGTACAGCCAGTGTATGCTCCAAAACCATTAAAGTAGAAGATCTTGTTTTCCTAGCAGCAATTTCTGTGTTCTCACCAACAGTGAGTGCTCTTTTTTTTTTTGAGATGGAGTCTCGCTCTTTCTCCCAGGCTGGAGTGCAGTGGCTCGATCTCGGCTCACTGAAACCTCCGCCTCCTGGGTTCAAGCAATTCTCCTGCCTCAGCCTTCCAAGTAGCTGGGATTACAGGTGCCTGCCACCACACCCAGCTAATTTTTGTATTTTTAGTAGAGATGGGGTTTCACCGTGTTGGCCAGGCTGGTCTTGAACTCCTGACCACCTTATCCACCTGCCTGGGCCTCCCAAAGTACTGGAATTACAAGTATGAGCTACCATGCCCAGCCTCTTTTTTTTTTTTTTTTAATGCTTCTTTCCCAATTGGATTGGAAGAAAAACAAGCTCACTGAATCTTTTTTTTTTTTGAGACAGAGTCTTGCTCTGTCACCAAGGCTGGAGTGCAGTGGGGTTATCTCAGCTCACTGTACTCCAATTACACTCTTTTTGAAACCTTGTAAAGAACCTGATGTTCTGTATGTAAAGTTGCTGTATTAGTCCATTTTCTCACTGCTGTAAAGACATACCCAAGACTGGGTAATTTATAAAGAAAAAAGGTTTAATTGACTCATGGTTCTGCATGGCTCAGGAGGCCTCTGGAAACTTACAATCCTGGTGGAAGGCGAAGGGGAAGCAAGGCATGTCTTACCATGGTGAAGCAGGAGAAAGAGCGAGCTCAGGGGAAACTGCCCCTTTTAAACCATCAGATATCGTGAGAACTCCCTCACTATCACAAGAACAGCATGGAGGAAACCACCCCCATGATCCAGTCACCTCCCACCAGGTTCCTCCCTCGACACATGGGTATTACAATTTGAGATGAAATTTGGGAGGGGACACAGAGCCAAACCATATCAGCTGCTCAATATCCATTTTATGATAATACTCTTTTCAGAGTGGTGGTGCAGAATGAGAGAAGAGAAGAATGGACTTCACTTCTCGTAACCATTAAAAAACTCTTCATCCAGTATCCAGTGTTGGTGCGACTGGAACAGGCAGGTACTGCATTCATGTAATAGATGGTGCGGCGGGGAAAGGAAGTGTAGGAGGGGTCTGGGAGACAGAGAAGAGATGTGTGCTTGTTTCTCTCCCATTGCCGTGTGTAGTTTCTGCTTTTGGTCAGGGTTCTGTTTCCAGTTGGATCCAATTGTACATTTCGTATGCCGTAAGTTCAACAGTGTCCCTAATACAGGGAGTGAGGCCTTGTGGAGCCAGATGCCTTCCTTTTTTTTTTTTTTGAGACAGAGTCTCACTCTGTCACCCAGGCTGGACTGGAGTGGAGCAATTATACTGTAACTTTAAACCACTGGGGCTCAAGCAATCCTCCTGCCTCAGCCTCCCGGGTAGCTAGGACGACAGGCATGCACTACCATGCCCAGATAATTTTTTCATTTTTTTGTAGAGACAAGAGTCTCGCTGTGTTGACCAGGCTTGTTTCAAACTCCTCGTCTTAAGCGATCTTCCTGCCTCCACCTTCCAAAGTGCTGGGATTACAGGCATGAGCCACCATGCTCAGCTGCCACTTATTTAAGAGTTCATCTTTCAGCCAGGTGTGATGTCTCATGCCTGTAATCCCAGCACAAGGCAGGCGGATCACGAGGTCAGGAGTTCAAGACCAGCCTGACCAATATGGTGAAACCCTGTCTCTACTAAAAATACAAAAATTAGCCTTGTGTGGTGGCGTGCGCCTGTAGTCCCAGCTACTCGGGAGGCTGAGGCAGGAGAATCACTTGAACCTGGGAGGTGGAGGTTGCAGTGAGCCAAGATTGTGCTGCTCCACTCCAGCCTGGGTGACACAGCAAGGCTTCGTTTAAAATTAAAAAAAAAAGTTCATGTTTCATGAGATGTTTTTCTTTCTCTTGCATATTTTGCTTCAGAGGGCTTTCCTCAAGGAGATAATTCTACCTCAGCACAAGGAAACTACCTGGAGGCCATCAATCTGTCATTCAATGGTGAGTAAGGATGCCGGCCATGAGCCAGCATCTTGCCTACCACATGGCTATGTTACCGGAAAGGTGTCCTGATCCAGACCCTAAGAGAAGGTTCTTGGATCTTGCAGAAGAAAGAATTCAGGACCAGTCCACAGAATAAAGTGAAAGCAAGTATATTAAGAAAGTAAAGGAATAAAAGAATAGCTACTCCATAGAAAGAGCAGGGCATTCCCGAAAGCAAGAGGAGGAACACGTCCACCTTAGGTACAGTGGTTGTTTATATATAACAAAGCAAAAAGTCATGGGGGAGAGATGCTCTGCCGCAAGCACTCATGACAAAGGATTGTTCATCTTTGTGTAACTGCTGTCTTTCTCAAGAATCTATATTATTATCTTTAAAGCAAACTTACTTTTTTTTTTTTTTTTTGAGATGGAGTCTTGCTCTGTCGCCAGGCTGGAGTGCAGTGATGCGATCTTGGCTCACTGAAACCTCCCACTCCTGGGTTCAGGCGATTCTCCTGCCTCAGCCTCCTGAGTATCTGGGATTACAGGTGCGCATCACCACGCCCAGCTAATTTTGTATATTTTTAGGAGACACGGGGTTTCACCATGTTGGCCAGCATGGTCTCGATCTCCTGACCTCATGATCCACCTGCCTCAGCCTCCCAAAGTGTTGGGATTATAGGCATGAGCCACAGCACCTGGCCTTTTTTTTTTTTAAATATACTTTAAATTCTGGGATACACGTGCAGAATGTGCAGGTTTGTTACATAGATATACGTGTGCCATGGTGGTTTGCTGCACCTATCAACCCATCATCTGCATTAGGTATTTCTCTTAATGCTATTTTTTTTTTTTTTTTTCTGGGATGGAGTGTCGCTTTGTCATCCAGGCTGGAATGTAGTGGTGCAATCTTGACTCACTGCAACCTCCGCCTCCCAGGTTCAAGTGATTCTCCTGCCTCAGCCTCCTGAGTAGCCCTCAGCCTCCTGAGCAGCTGGGACTACAGGTGTGCACCACCATGCCCGGCTAATTTTTGTGTTTTTAGTAGAGATGAGGTTTCACCGTATTGGCCAGGCTGGTCTCGAGCTCCTGACCTCGTGATCCACCTACCTTGGCCTCCCAAAGTGTTGGGATTACAGGCATGAGCCACCATGCCCGGCCTTTTTTTTTTTTTTTTTTTTTTTTTTTGAGACAGAGTCTTACTCTGTCGCTAGGCTAGAGTGCAATGGCATGATCTCCCTGCTCAGTGCAACTCCCAGGTTCAAGCGATTCTCCTGCCTCAGCCTCCCAAGTAGCTGGGATCACAGGCACGTGCCACCACACCCAGCTAATTTTTGTGTTTTTAGTAGAGACAGGGTTGTACCATGTTGGTCAGGATGGTCTCGATCTCCTGACCTCGTGATCCGCCCACCTTGGCCTCCCAAAGTGCTGGGATTTCTGGTGTGAGCCACTGCACCTGGCTGCAAAACTTACTCCTAAACTAAGAATGCTTTTGTTTTTAAGATATTGGGACATCAGGGCATTTCCTGGGTCTATTAAGTCCTGAGTCTGTTGGAGAAACATTATTATCCTGTTCCCTTAACTGTAAACACCCTGTGACTAAGAATGTCTAACCTCCTAGGAATGCAGACTAGCAGGTGTGAGCCTCATTTTACCCAGCCCCTATTCAAGATGGAGTTGCTCTGGTTCAAAGGCCTCTGACAGCTATGCATGTCTCTTTATGAATGCCTGCAGACCCAGACCTAGGTGATGATGCCCCCACTCACCTACCCCCAAAATTAATTTAAAGCAATAGCTTCTCATTGGATGGTTGTAATGACCAACATTTAGCTCTTGGGTCTTCTGTTGGCCAGTTAATTTGGTAGTCATTTGCTTCTCATGGTCAGGAACTGGAAGGATCTTCCTTGGGTTCTTTGACTTACTCGAACTGTGTTATTATTTTCCACCCCATCCCTCAACTGCTTCTAGGTAATATTTTAAAAATCTACTTAAAAAATAAGAATTAAAATAAAAATTTTAAAAAATTAAAATCTACTTTAAAAAAAATTACAAAAATAGCCAGGTATGGTGGCTCACACCCATAATCCCAGCACTTTGGGAGGTTGAGGCGGACAGATCACTTGAGGTCAGGAGTTCAAGACCAGCCTGGGCAACATGGTGAAACCCTGTCTCTACTAAAAATACAAAAATTAGCCAGCATGGTGGCGCACACCTGTAATCTCAGCTACTCAGGAGGCTGAGACAGGAGAATCACTTGAACCTGGGAGGTGGAGGTTGTGGCGAGCAGAGATCACGCCGCTGCACTCCAACCTGGTTGATAGAAAAAGACACTATCTCAAAAAAAAATTCTTTTTTTTTTTTTTAAATAAATAGGCTGGCTGCAGTGGCTGACACCTGTAATACCAGCACTTTCGGAGGCTTAGGCAGCGGGATCACCTGAGGTCAGGAGCTCAAGAGCAGCCTGGCCAACATGGCGAAACCCCATCTTTACTAAAAATACATAAAAAACTTGCCAGGCATGGTGGTGCATGCCTGTCATACCAGCTACTTGGGAGGCTGAGGCAGGAAAATCACTTAAACCTGGGAGGTGGAGGTTGCAGTGAGCTGAGATTGTGCCACTGCATTCCAGCCTGGGTGATGGAGTTAGACTGTCTCAAATAAATGAATAAATAAATAATAAATAAAATTGTAAAAGTAACCATGTTACTAGAATTTGAATATGGAGAGGTATATCAAGTAAAAAATGATACCCTTCTCCTGCTCCCCAGTGTGAGTCCTTTTTTAAGGGGAACCATTGTTAGCAGTGTGGTATGATTATCCCGGCATTTATGTGTTAGCCGAAATATATTGTTTGCAAATAACAGAGATGTACTGATTTAGTTTAAACAAAAAGCGAAATTTACTGTAAGGATACAGAGGCTTAAATGGAGCAGCCAGGAAAGGCTCAAACACCATGTCGAAGAACCTTAGTGGCTCTGGGAACCATAGCAGCAGGAATTATGAGAGCCATATTTCAGCTTCCAGCAACCCTGTCTCTGCTCTCTGTTCAGAATTTACATTCCTGGTAGAGAGGGTCTGATCTGTTCAGCTCCAGTTAGGTGTCCATCTGCCACTGGCCAGAGGTGGAAGTGATGATACGCGTACACATCACTATGTATATCATCTTCCCACATGTCTGTACCCAGGTGCTCAGGGAATTCTAGAGCATAATGTCTTCTATTAGTAAATCTTCTTGTCATATTGGAATATCACTGATTTTTCATAGTAAGAATCATAGAGGCTAGAAATAAAAAGTGACTTGCCAGATTTACAAAGTCATCCCAAGATTTTGGTCTACTCTTTTAAATAGTGTCTTAAATTAATACTAATATAATCTAATTATATCATTAATATATATAATATTAAAATAATATATAATATATAAAATAATATAATCAAAGTTTTACTACAGATTCATTTATGGAAGGTTTAAATTAACAGCATGAATTTTTTTTTTTTTTTTTTTTTTTTAGACAGGTTCTTGCTCTGTTGCCCAGGCTGGAATGCAGTGGCACGATCTTGGCTCACTGCGCCTCTGCCTCCTGGGTTCAAGTGATTCTCCCATCTCAGCCTCCCACATAGCTGGGATTACAGGTGCACATCACCATGCCTGGCTAATTTTTGTATTTTTTGGTAGAGATGGAGTTTCACCATGTTGGCCAGGCTGGTCTCAAACTCCTGATTTCAAGTGATCCGCCTGCTTTGGCCTCCCAAAGTGCTGGGATTTCAGGCATGAGCCACCATACCCAGCCCTCACAGCATGAAATTTGAGCATTTAAGGCTGCACAGGGCAAGTATGAGGTGTCAATGAGGGGTATTAACAAAGGTGACAGCGACTTATTCCTGTGGTCAAGTAGTTCTTAATATGGAAGAGAAAAGACAGATGCGTATACATTTAACTAGAATGTGGCAGTTGCTATAATAAAAATATGGGCAGAATGCTCTGAGAGTGTAGAGATGCTTGTCTGTGACAGGGTTCTGAAAAGCTGTAACATCATTATTGTGGAATTTTTGTTTTATTTCTAGTGTTTGATAAGCACTACATCAACCGCAACTTTGACCGAACTGGGCAGATGTCAGTGGTGATCACGCCCGGGGTGGGTGTCTTTGAAGTGGACCGCCTACTCATGATCCTGACCAAGCAGCGGATGATAGATAATGGTAATGCTCTCTGGTTTGTGCCCTGTCTCCACATGTTCCTAGCCTGATTTCCCCTTAGAACTGTGAGCTTCACTGACTTCTTAGAGTGTGAGGAGCTCTACATAGTGTTCTGTGTGTCACAACGTCTGTGGATGTCAATAGGTGTCAGGTGCTAAAATTTCATGGTCAAATCAGTTTGGGAAATGCTGGGTCATGCAAAGATAAGCAGGTTCCATAATGACAGGTCTTCCTCAGTTTTTAATATGTTAGTGTAGGTTGTTTTTCTCTAAAGGTTGTGTCAGGGTACTCTGAGTTCCCCAAACATATTTGGCACTAGAGAAGCCTTCCTGGAGGGATGATTTCAAGGGACCCATGTGCTGTCAGCCGATTTTCTTTCTTTCTTTTTTTTTTTAGACGGAGTCTCGCTCTGTCTCCCAGGCTGGAGTGCAGTGGTGTGATCTTGGCTCACTGCAAGCTCCGCCTCCTGGGTTCACACTATTCTCCTGCCTCAGCCTCCCAAGTAGCTGGGACTACAGGCATCCGCCACCATGCCCGGCTAATTTTTTTTGTATTTTTAGTAGAGGTGGAGCTTCTCCGTGTTAGCCAGGATGGTCTCGATCTCCTGACCTTGTGATCCGCCCGTCTTGGCCTCCCAAAGTTCTAGGATTGCAGGCATGAGCCACCACACCCAGCCGCTGTCAGCCCATTTTCAGATGCACTATCAGGTCATCTAGTCCAGTCCTTCCTCCATGATGTGCCTCGTATCCCCAACTCAGCCCCACACCCCCCAATTTGATTTGTTTCATCAACAAGATGGAGTTGGGACGCTGAGGCAGTAGAATTGCTTGAACCCAGAAGGTGGAGGTTGCAGTGAGCCGTGATCTCACGCCACTGCATGTCAGCCTGGGCAGCAGAGCAAGACTGTCAAAAAAAAAAAGGAGTTTGGAAAGTAAATCCTGATGCCACTAAAGAAGCTCTGTTAAGTGATGTGGATTGTTTTACTTTTTACTGAGATATTACAAAGTTACTGTTCCTTTCTGGCCTTAAAAATTTAAACATGGAAGTTTGGTTGTCTTTTTTTAAACAAGTCATGACCTGTAGGACAGTCAAAGGCTAATTGTCAAGCACCGAATAATGATACGTTAGTAGGGCACTTGGAAAAGAGGAAACAGACAAAATGAATGTATTTACTTCTTTGTTGGATAGGCAGCACTATGAGGTTATAAATCATACAATGGTAAGTTAGCTTTGCCTACTACCCATTTAAATAACATGATTTATAGATAGGGACACTTGTCTCTGCCATTCCCTCCCCACAATTCTTTTTGTCTTTTCTTTTTTTAGGAATTGGTGTGGATTTGGTGTGCATGGGAGAGCAACCGTTACATGCTGTCCCATTGTTCAAGGTAATTAGATTTCGGATTTGTTTACTAAAGGCCAGTTGGAGTATAGTTAGAAAGAGAAAAATTCCAGGCGCTGTGGCATGCACTTATAGTCCCACTTACTCGAGAGGCTGAAGTGGGAAGATCCCTTAAGCCTAGGAGTTTCGGTATAGTTTGCTATGAACATGCCTATGAATAACCACTGCACTCCAGCCTGGGCAGCAAAGCAAGACTCTATCTCTAAAAAAATTATTTTTGAGACGATGTCTTGTTCTTGTCCTCCAGGCTGGAGTGCAATGGTGCGATGTTGGCTCACTGCAACCTCTGCCTCCCGGGTTCAATCAGTTCTCCTGCCTCAGCCTCCCGAGTAGCTATGATTACAGGCGCCTGCCACCATGCCAGGCTAATTTTTGTATTTTTAGTAGAGACGGGGTTTCACCATGTTGGCCAGGCTGGTCTTGAACACCTGATTGCAGGTGGTCCGCCCGCCTTGGCCTCCCAAATTGCTGGGATTACAGGCATGACCCACAGCGCCCAGCCCTAAAAAATTTTTTTTAAAAACCTGAAAAACAGAAAAGTTAGAGCAGTTCCAAAACCTACTTGTTCTGTAGCTTATCTGTGCTCTCATTTTTCTCCTTGCAGCTCCATAATCGGAGTGCTCCCCGTGATTCTCGTCTGGGCGATGACTATAATATCCCTCACTGGATAAACCACAGGTGGGTGCGATCTCGATCAATAGTAGGTGATAAGCGTTTTGAACAGCTTCCTTGCCATTTTTCTTTAAATCTGTTAAGTTCTTATTATGGCACTAAACCTTTTGTTAAGAAAATGTGGAAACCAAGTTCTAACATTTGCTCAAAGCTCTGTACACACAAAGCAGTAGCAGTATCATAGGAACAGTCTATGGTGAAAAAGAATAAAAACAAAATTTGAAGGACTTACTTCCTCTGCAGTTCCCATGTCCTTCTATTCCCAACTCCCACAGACTGTAGAAGACCAACATTTGTACCTGACCTCCTTCAGCTCTAGAGAAGTCCCCGCGCCTCTTTACATGGAATCCTGCTGATTCCAGCTCAGGGATGGCTTTTCTCATCCCTCTGCCAGTGCCAGTGCCTCATCTTTTTGAACTATGACACTAATCTTATTCCACCTACCCTTCTCCTGAAAATGCCTATTTTCTTCCAAGATCCAACTCCAGCATCTCTCTTTTATGAATTCCTCCTGTGCTGCCCTGATAGCTAACAGCCACTTTTTCTTCAGTGCTTCCAGAGCATTCTATCCTTCTCTGGGTTGTCTTTCTTTCTTTCTTTTTTTTTTTTAAGACGGAGTTTCACTCTGTCACCCAGGCTGGAGTGCAGTGACATGATCTTGGCTCACTGCAACCTCCACCACCCGGGTTCAAGTGATTCTCTTGCCTCAGCCTCCTGCGTAGTTGGGATTACAGGTGCCTGCCGCCACGCCCGGCTAATTTTTGTATTTTTAGTAGAAACGAGATTTCACTGTGTTGGCCAACCTGGTCTTGAATAGCAAGTTCATGGCAAAGCTGCAGCTATTAGTTTATACTATTTGATATCATGATATTAGACTGTTTTTGACCTACAAAAGTAGCAATTTCAGGCCGGTCACAGTGGCTCATGCCTGTAATCCCAGCACTTTGGGATGCTGAGGTGGGAGGAATGCTTGAGGCCAGGAGTTTGAAACCATTTTGGTCAGTGTAGCCAGACTCTGTCTCTACCAAAAAACAAAACATAACTAATGTTTTGTAGTGAATTCTTGTAAAAGAAGTTAAAATTGGGAAGATTAGTGAAGCTGAGAACAAAGCCCATGTCAGGAGGGCTGATCCATGCCTAGTATTTTAACTGTGTTTTGAGTTTTAAAATAAAGGGAATTTAGATTAATGACTCTGTTTGTTTCTTTTACAGTTTCTACACATCCAAAAGCCAGCTCTTTTGTAATAGTTTCACCCCACGAATAAAACTGGCAGGAAAGAAGGTAGGTTTTTATTTTTGTTAAGACGGGGTCTTATTATGTGGTCCAGTCTTATCTTGAGCTCCTGGACTCAATCAGTCCTCCTGTTTCAGCCTCCCAAAGTGTTGGGATTACAGACATGAGCCATTCTGCCCAGCCAAGAAGGTAGATTTCATTAATCAGCAGAGAGCCTTTGTGGACTATCACGCATTGATAGGGTTATTTTAGTCCTGAGGTACCCTCATCTTTCCCAATGGCCATGAACAGGGTTAAGAAATTCATCCCCAAACTTTATAACTTTATACATTAGATAAATAAATAACAAGGCCAAGGCCAGACTGCGTGAAATACCTTTGAGAAAAATATGACCAAGACCAAGAGTTCATTTTTTGTTTGTTTGTTTAAGAGTTCGTTTTATTGTGACCTGACTGTTTTATTCAGATGTTGAAGCCACTCAGATACCAGTGGGGATAAAGACAAAGATGCAGATATGCATTGCAGCAAAGGGGAAATATGATAAAAAGGTCAGATCTTAGTATAAAGAAATGAAAATTCTGGCTGTGTGCAGTGGCTCTTGCCTGTAACCCCAGTGCTTTGGGTGGCTGAGGAAGGAGGATTGTTTGAAGCCAGGAGTTTGAGACCGATCTGGGCAACAAATATAGTGAGACCCCATTTCTGTAAAAACTAAAAAAGAATTAGCCAGGTGTATTGGCACATACCTGTAGTCCCAGCTACTTGGGAGGCTAAAACGGGAAGATTGCCCAAGCCCAGGAATCCATTGCTGTGGTGAGCTATAATTGCGCCATTGCACGCTAACCTGGGTGGCTAAGTGAGATCTTGTCTCTGGAAACAAACAAACCAAGAAAATAAATGAAAATTGTAACAAGAGTGGGAATTCTTGTTTTCTTCTTTCCAAAGAGGTTTAAAATATATTAATAATTATATCACATGCTACAAAAAGTGTGGTGAAATTGACACTTGAGTACCTGGTTGGTGTACCATACTTTTGCAAAGCATTTCAGCCATGTGTATTGAGAGCAAATGTTTATGCTATTTGAACCAGGCACTTCCATTTTGGGGCATGCGATGTAAGGAAATAATTGAAGTGATAATATGCAAATACATCTGGGTTTAGTTTTATTTATAATTGTGAGAAGTTGAAAACAATAGATCAATGGCTGAAATATGAAATATCCACTTGATGGAATATATTTGCAACTGATAAAAATGCAAGTTTTAAGAATTTTAACAAGTGTTTGTTGTTGTCGTTGTTTGTTTTTTTGAGATGGAATCTTGCTCTGTCTCCCAAGCTGGAGTGCAGTGGCGTGATCTTGGCTTACTGCAACTTCTGCCTCCCAGGTTCAAGCAATTCCTGTGCCCTAGCCTCCTGAGTAGCTGGGATTACAGGCACCCGCCACCACACCCAGCCTAATTTTTGTATTTTTAGTGGAGACAGGGTTTCACATGTTGGCCAGGGTTGTCTCAAACTCTTGATTTCAAGTGACCCACCCGCCTCAGCCTCCCAAAGTGCTGGGATTATAGGCGTGAGCCACTGCACCCGGCCAGAACTCGAAAAAGTGGTTTTGATGTACTGTGAGAAGAAAAGCAGGCTGTTATGTTTGCAGGCCCCACACCCGAGTGCTCTCACCCCTCTGCCCTTTCCTAGTAGAGCTGAATTCACTGAGGGTTGCTCCATTTGTGGCTGTGTGTCAGGGCCTCTTATTCCCTTTTCTTTTTTTAGGGGGGAGGGCTGTTAATGTTACTCTTCTAATAAGGGAAATACTAATTTGGAGCAATCTGAGGACTCCTGACATAAGCCATGTCAGATAGTGAAGTGCTAGGAGATGGGATTCTGTATAGAAAGGGCCTCTCTTGCCTTCACCACAAGCATTCTCAGCAAAGTAGAACATGGAAAAACTTCTCTGCACCATGATTATTTTATTTTTTTTTTGAGACAGAGTCTCGCTCTGTCATGCCCAGTGTAGTGGTGGGATCTCGGCTCACTGCAACCTCTGCCTTCTGGGTTCAATCAGTTTTCGTGCCCCAGCCTCCCCAATAGCTAGGACTACAGGCACATGCCACCATGCCTAATTTTTTTTTTTTTTTTTTGAGATGGAGTCTCTCTCTCTGTGGCCCAGGCTGGAGTGCAGTGGTGCGATCTTGGCTCACTGTAACCTCTGCCTCCAGGGTTCAAGTGATTCTCCTCTCTCAGCCTCCCAAGTAGCTGGGATTACAGGTGTGCGCCACCATGTCCAGCTAATTTTTGTATTATTTTTTATTTTTTTGAGATAGAGTTTCACTCTGTCTCCCAGGCTGGAGTGCAATGGCACAATCTCGGCTCACTGCAACCTCCATCTCCTGGGTTCACGTGATTCTCCTGCCTCAGCCTCCAGAGAAGCTGGGATTACAGGTGCCTGCCACCACGCCCAGCTAATTTTTTGTGTTTTTAGTAGAGACGAGGTTTCACCATGTTGGCCAGGCTGGTCTTGAACTCCTGACCTCAGGTGATCCATCTTGGCCTCCCAAAGTGCTGGGATTACAGGTGTGAGCCACCATGCCCAGCTAATTTTTGTATTTTTAGTAGAGATGGGGTTTCACCATGTTGGCCAGGCTGGTACTCCTGACAACCTCAGGTGATCTACCTGTCTCGGCTTCCCAAAGTGCTGGGATTACAGGCATGAGCCTTTGTACTCGGCTACCATGATCATTTTAAAGAAGCAAGAGTTAGTATTGTTGTGAAAGTTTTCAGGGTCCTGAAAGATTAAATATATATATATAAAAATAGAGATGGGGTCTTACTGTGTTGCTCAGGCTAGTCTCAAACTCCTGGGCCCAAGCAATCCTCCTGCCTTGGGCTCCCAAGGTGCTGGGATTACAGGCGTGAACCACTGTGCCTGGCCTTTATTTATTTATTTAATCTGAAAAAGATCTTTAAGAAAATGTAAAAAGTGATAGCTCTATTAGTTTTTTTTCCTCTACCCTTGTACTTCATTTCAGCAAATTGGGTGATATACAGAGTGCTCAGCTCTGGTAGGTGTAGGCAGACAGGTGACAGCACCGTAGTGAAGGGGGAGGCATGCAGCATTTGGGTCAGGTGGGACAAACACAACAGTGGATTGACCAAGAATCTAAAGATCTGGTCTTGAATTTTGGCTCTGCCACCTGCTGAATGTGTGGCTTTGGGTAAAGTCCCTTATTCTCTCTGCAATTGAATATCCCCACTTGTAAGGGGCAGTCCATTCCCCCAGTGGACAGGTTTGTGAGAGGCAACAAGATGTGATACGGGAATAAAGGACCGTGGTAGGTAGGTGTCAGATGTTAGCTCCTGCCTTTCTGTCAGTTACAGGCTGTCTTCCCTGGGAGCAGCACATATATACTGTGCCTTGTGATAAGTTCTTTTCTAGCGAAGGAAGGAGTGATTAATTATCTATTTAATTTTTCAGCCCGCCTCTGAGAAAGCAAAAAATGGCCGTGATACATGTGAGTATTTTTTGAGATTTTTTTTCTTGCTTTTAAAAAGAGAGTCAGCTGGCTGGGTGCAGTGGCTCACGCCTATAATCCCAGCACTTTGGGAGGCCAAGGTTGGTGGATCACCTGAGGTCAGGAGTTCAAGACCAGCCTTGCCAACATGGTGAAACCCTGTCTCTACAAAAATACAAAAAAAATTAGCTGGGTGTGATGGTGGGTGCCTGTAATCCCAGCTACTCGGGAGGCTGAGGCAGGAGAATCACTTGAACCCGGGAGGCAGAGGTTGCAGTGAGCCGAGATCATGCCATTGCACTCCAGGCTGGGTGACAGAGCAAGACTCTGTCTCAAAAAAAAAGAGCATCAGCTAACCCATGACAACAAAACTATGTGAAGTGCCATAAAAAGTTTATGGAAAAGTCAGGAGACCTGAGTTCCCTTTGTGTCATGTATGCAGGATCCCTTAATTACCTTGTATTTTTTCCCGCCATCTGCAAATTGAAAAAACCTTGTTTTTCTTTTCCATAGGCCATTTGTAGGGATCACGTAGAAAGTTTTAAACTACTAAACATATTAAGATGATTTATTTTAAGAAGGGTCACAAAAGGATGAAATGCTACCCACAGCTTGCCTTTATTTAGTGCTATACTATTTCTATGTTGCTTTGACATATACGTCATTTAGTCTCTACTTGATGAATAGGTCGTTATCCCATTTTTTCAAGGGGAGAGGGTGATCACCTGTGCCTTGCAGATTTTGGTGAAGATTATCTGAAGGCCTCTGTTTGAAATGTATTTGGATGACAATTTATATTATTTGTGTATTTCAGCTCTCAGGCATGTGTTTGAAATGTATTTGATGACAATTTATATTATTTGTGTATTTCAGCTCTCGGGAGTCCAAAAGAATCTGAGAACGCCCTTCCCATCCAAGTAGATTATGACGCCTATGACGCTCAAGTGTTCAGGCTGCCCGGCCCATCCCGGGCCCAGTGCCTCACCACCTGCAGGTTTTCTGCCAGATTCACTTGGGGGTGCATATAAAAATTGTGTAGGAAAACCTGAAGTTCAGTAGTGACCTCTAAGAGAGCAACCTTGAAAATCTTGTTTTGTTTTGTTTTGTTTCGTTTTGGTTTTTTGTTTGTTTTGTTTTGTTTTTTTGAGATGGAGTTTCGCTCTTGTTGCCCAGGCTTGAGTGCAATGGTGTGATCTCGGCTCACTGCAACCTTGACCTCCTGGGTTCAAGCGGTTCTCCTGCCTCAGCCTCACAAGTTGCTGGGATTACAGGCATGCGCCATCACGCCTGGCTAATTTTGTATTTTTAGTAGAGATGGGGTTTTTCCATGTTGGTCAGGCTGGTCTCGAACTCCCGACCTCAGGTGATCTGCCCGCCTCGACCTCCCAAAATGCTAGGATTAGAGGCGTGAGCCACTGTGCCTGGCTTGTTTTGTTTTTTGAGACGGAGTCTCACTCTGTCACCCAGGCTGGAGTGCAATGACACAATCTCTGCTCACTGCAACTTCCGCCTCCTGGGTTCAAGCGATTCTCCTGCCTCAGCCTCCTGAGTAGCTGGGATTAAAGGCACGTGCCACCACGTCCAGCTAATATTTGTGTTTTTTGTAGAGATGGGGTTTCGCCATGGTGGCCAGGCTGGTCTTGAACTTCTGGCCCCAAGTGATCCTCCTGCCTCGGCCTCCCTAAGTGCTGGGATTACAGGTGTGAGCCACCATGCCTGGCTGGTTCTTATGCTTTTCTGAGCCAAGGGAAACAATTCACAAATTCCAGAATCTTCCTCTCACTGGGCTGGCTCTATCCTTGGACACAGCGTTTAAGTTTATTATTCTGAGTGGGCATGAACTTTTCTTTCTTTAAGTCCTGCTTTTAAAAATTTGCTCTGTGGTGTTTTGGTCATATGGTAGTTGTTTTTTTTTTTTTTGAGACAGGATCTCCTTCTGTCACCCAGGCTGTAGTGCAGTGTCACGTTGACAGCTCACTGTAACCTCTGCCTCCTGGGCTCAAGTGATCCTCTTGCCTCTGCCTCCCAAGTAGCTGAGACTACAGGCATGCACCATCATGTCCAGCTAGTTTTTAATTTTTTGTAGAGATGAGGTCTCACATATTGCCAGGCTGGTCTCAAACTCCTGGCTGAAGCCATCCTCCCGCCTTAGTCTCCAAAAGTGCTGAGATTATAGGCATGAGCCACTGCACTCAGCCATGTAGTAGTTTTTAATTGTGATGTAGTTAGATCTACTCATCTATTCATTTGTGGGTCTTGTGTAAGAAAGCACTCTCTACCCCAGAGTTACAGATGTGTATTTCATATTTTCTTCAAATACTTTATAGTCTTGGCGGAATTTTTTTTTTCTTTTTTTTTCGAGATGGCGTCTTGCCCTGTCTCCTAGGCTGGAGTGCAGTGCTGCAATCTCGGCTCACTGCAGCCTCTGCCTCCTGGGTTCAAGCAATTCTCATGCCTCAGCCTCCCAAGTAACTGGGACTACAGGCATGCACCACCACACTCGGCTAATTTTTATATTTTTTAGTAGAGACAGGGTTTCACTGTGTTGGCCAGGCTGGTCTCAAACTCCTGACTTCAAGTGGCCCACACCCGCCTTGGCCTCCCAAAGTGCTGGGGTTACAGAATGAGCCACCGCACCCGGCCTCATCTTGGATTTTATGCTTATGTTTATATTATTTATGTTGACTTTCTTTTTTTGTGAATGTGTGAAACAGCTCTAGCTTATATTTTTTTCCCTGTGTACCAAATACTGTGAATCAATTTTCCATATTTCTTTTTTTTTTTTTTTTTTTTTTGAGACAGAGTCTCGCTCTGTTGCCCAGGCTGGAGTGTAGTGGCGCGATCTCGGCTCACTGCAAGCTCTGCCTCCCAGCTTCGCACCATTCTTCTGCCTCAGCCTCCCGAGTAGCTGGGACTACAGGCGCCCACCACCACGCCCAGCTAATTTTTTGTATTTTTAGTAGAGACGGGGTTTCACCGTGTTAGCCAGGATGGTCTCGATCTCCTGATCTCGTGATACGCACACCTCAGCCTCCCAAAGTGGTGGGATTACAGGCGTGAGCCACCGCGCCCGGCCAATTTTCCAGATTTCTTTCTTTTTTTTTTTTTTTGAGTTGGAGTTTTGCTCTTGTTGCCCAGGCTGGAGTGCAATGGTGTAATCTCAGCTCACCACAACCTCCGCCTCCCAGGTTCAAGCAAGTCTTGTGCCTCAGCCTCCCGAGTAGCTGGGATTACAAACATGCGCCTCCACGCCTGGCTAATTTTGTATTTTTAGTAGAGACGGGGTTTCTCAGTGTTGGTCAGGCTGGTCTCGAACTCCCGACCCCAGGTGATCCACCCACCTTGGCCTCCAAAAGTGCTAGGATTATAGGTGTGAGCCACTGCCCCCGCCAGATTTCTTAACTCTGTAGCTTTAAGCGCAACTGAGTGGAAGAATATTATGTCTCTTAATTTTGTGGCAAATGAACTTAGAGTGACCACATGATTGTTTTCTGCCCTTTTCTCTCATCCAGTCCTACCTGAGAAGGCTTAGAGCTCAGAATTAAGTGCTGTCAGCAGCCTCTCTCCTATGTGTGGATGCTGCTTAGGGGCTCAGTAAGAGCTACTTAGGGGCTTTTCTTTGTAGTCTTTAAAAATGCTCTCATAGTTCAAGATTGATTTTCTTTTTCTAATTAAAGATGACAAGACCTGGTGGTACCCAGGTTGTGTGGTCTCTGAAGGCACAAATTGTGTCTTAATTGGTGCTACCTTCACACATGGCTAAGCGTATACTGGTGTTTAAATATTTACTGTGGAAAGAACAAACATGTAGTCAGCACTTGGAATCTGTTTTCAGGCTCCGTTTAAGCTCTTACTAAAAAAATCCTTCCAGGAGGAAAGGGAGCAGCTCTGATGCCAGAAGGGCAGCCCCGTTGGTGGGCTTGCTTTTTCGTTCTGAGCTTTTGCTTCTCTATAGGGCTTCTTTCTTTTTGATCCTTCTTCCTGTTGCTTTTAGAGGTTTTCCCCTTAGGGAATTTTATGTTTTAATAAGGCTATATATATATATATATATATGCATATATAAACTTTTATTAGGAAATGTTCAGACGTGCTCAAATAGAGAATAGTATCATGAACAGTTATCACCATGTTGTCAGCCTTGTTTCATGACCTCTCCCACGTTTAAATTTTGGATGGAATATTTTAAAAACAAATCCCAGGATTGGCCGGGCACAGTGGCTCACACCTGTAATCCCAGCACTTTGGGAGGCCAAGGCAGGTGGATCACTTGAGTTCAGGAGTTTGAGACCAGGCTGACCAACGTGGTGAAACCCCGTCTCTACTAAAAATACGAAAAAAGTACCCAGGCGTGGTGGTGGGCGTCTGTAATCTCAGCTACTTGGGAGGCTGAGGCAGGAAAATCACTTGAACCCAGGATGTGGAGGCTGCAGTGAGCTGAGATCATGCCACTGCACTCCAGTCTGGGTGACAGAGTGAGACTCCGTCTCACAAAAACAAACAAACAAAACAAACCCCAGGCAGCCTCTATTTTTTTTCAATAATACATACTTCAGCGTAAGTTTCTTTCTTTTTTTACATGTTATTTATTTATTTAGTGTCACCCAGCCTGGCACAAAGCTGATTAGTATATGTTTCAACAAATAAGAACTAAAAGAAAACCCATCACGGTACCATTATCATTGGTAACAAAATTAACACTAATCCCTAAATGCCCTCTAATAGCCAGTGCATAGTCAGTTTTTTGAATTGCCTCAAAAATGTGCTTTTGCAGTTAGTTTGAAATGGGACCTAAACAAGATCCACTTTTTGCATTTGGTTATAATGCCTTTTGTGTGTGTGTGTGACAGTAGAATGTCTTGCTTTCTACATTTGGCTGATTGTTGCCTTGTAGTGTTTCAGTTTTCCTCTATTCTGCAGATTCCCTGTAAACTGGCAATTATCTCTGGAAGCTTGATTAGATTTAGATTCAAATTTGAGGGCAAGTAGACTTCTTGGGCACTATGTTCTTTCTCCCACATCACATCATACCTCTCTTCTCATTCTGTTTTTAGTGATGAGAGATTAATCAGTGGGATTAGGTGGGGTCAGCCTGGAGCAGTCCTTTCTTTACAACTATGATCCTAGGACTTTGGCTGCATAATGTCTGTCATTTCCCCCCTCTCTTATATAACATCTCAAGCTGTTAAGGGTGAAGTACCGCATACAGGTTTCCCACTTGTAGATCACACTGGGGATTTTTGTTATTGGGTTCCATGTGGCTTGGGCTGGTGATGGGTTTTAGTTTTAACTCAAGGTAGGACAGCATCCCTCGCTTGATGGTAACTTTTTGTCTCTTGCCTGGCAGATCTGTGCGAGAGCGAGAGAGTCACAGTCGAAAGAGTGCCAGCTCCTGTGATGTTTCATCCAGCCCTTCCCTACCAAGCCGCACACTGCCCACTGAGGAAGTGAGGAGCCAGGCTTCTGACGACAGCTCCCTAGGCAAGAGTGCCAACATCCTGATGATCCCACACCCCCACCTGCACCAGTATGAAGTCAGCAGCTCCTTGGGATACACCAGCACTCGAGGTAAGAGTGCTGAAGCACAGACAGAGCCAGGGACATCTTTCTTAATATAGTGGGTGACTGGAGGTGGGAGGATTGGTCAGAGGTGGGGTGTAAATCCCACATCTTAATGATTTCTTTGCCAGTGCAGTAGGTACAAATCACTTTAGCTGTTAGCTATGTATATATTATACTTCTTTTTTTTTTTTTTTTTTTTTTGGTGACAGAGCACCTAGGATAAAGTGCAGTGATGCAATCACAGCTCACCTCAGTGCGGCCTTGAACTCCTGGACTCAATCGATCCTCCCACCTCTGCCTCCCAAGTAACTGGGACTATAGCATGCCACCACACCCAGCTGATTATCATATTTTTTTTTGTAGAGGTGGGGAAGTGCAGTGATGCAATCACAGCTCACCTCAGTGCGGCCTTGAACTCCTGGACTCAATTGATCCTCCCACTTCTGCCTCCCAAGTAACTGGGACTATAGCATGCCACCACACCCAGCTGATTATCATATTTTTTTTTGTAGAGGTGGGGTTTTACCATTCCCAGGCTGGTCTTGAACTCCTGGACTCGAGGGATCCACCCATTGGCCTCCAAAAGTGCTGAGATTACAGGCATGAACCAATGTTACCGCACCCTGCCTCTATTATACTATTTTTTGTTTAGCCTTTCTTCATCCATCATTTAACTGTATGCCTTTCCATATGTTAATGGAAAGCTTTTCTTAGGCCTAGGGTCAAAAGGGTTTATTTCCTTATGATTTCCATTTGTGCCATATATAAAACAACCTCTGTCTTAATGTTGCATTTTAGTTTCTCATTTACCGGTCGGGCGCAGTGGCTCACACCTGTAATTCCAGCACTTTGGGAGGCCAAGGCGGGTGGATCACTTGAGGCCAGAAGTTTGAGACCAGCCTGGTCAACATGGTGAAACGCCGTCTCTACTCAAAATACAAAAATTAGCTAGGTGTGGTGGCGGGTGCCTGTAATCCCAGCTACTCAGGAGGCTGAGGCAGGAGAATCACTTGAACCTGGCAGGCGTAGTTGCAGTGAGCCGAGATTCCACCACTGCACTCCAGCCTGGGTGACAGAGGGAGACTCCACCTCAAAAAAAAAAAAACAAAAAACTTTTTTTTTCACTTACCTGTTTTTTTTTAACTTTTATTTGCATTGATTTTGTACCGAATTTATTCCCATACTATCAGTTTTTGTTTCTTCAGTTTCTTTCTTTTCTTTTTTTTTCTTTTCTTTTTTTCTGAGACAGAGTCTTGCTCTGTTGCCCGGGCTAGGGTACAGTGGCATGATCTCAGCTCACTGCAACCTCTGCCTCCTGGGTTCAAGTGATTCTCTTGCCTTAGCCTCCCAAGTAGCTGGGATTACAGGCACACACCACCACACCAGCTAATTTTTGTTTTTTTAGTAGAGATGGGGTTTTGCCGTGTTGGCCAGGCTGGTCTCAAACTCCTGGCCTCCAATGATCCACCCACCTCGGCCTCCCAAAGTGCTGGGATTACAGGCGTGAGCCACCATGCCTGGCCTTGGGATATCTTTTTCTTCTGTGCAATGTCCTCTTCTGGTTTAGGAATAATTTATTCCTTTTCCATGAGGATCATCTTGGTTTCGCAGGGGGAGCTCATGTATGGGTTAATCTGACCATGAGCTCTTTACATCAGGCAGCACATCTTGGGTGCTTTGTTCACCTGGACATGCTCAATGACCAGAGGATCTGCACCTGAACCCTTAAGTTCGGCATGACTGTGCATTTTTAAGCATATGTAGCAATAATTCAGTACTCTTTTTTGGCCACTGACCCCGTGTGCAGCCGTGCTGTGTGGCCTGGGACCACCTACTATCTCCATCATTGTAATGTGGAAATGGTACACATTGTTTCTGTAAAGTGACATATTTCTTTCTTTCTTTCTTTCTTTTTTTTTTGTGATGGAGTTTCACTCTTGTCCCCCAGGCTGGAGTGCAATGGCGTGATCTTGGCTCACTGCAACCTCTGCCTCCCGGGTTCAAGCAATTCTCTTGCCTCAGCCTCCCGAGTAGCTGTGATCACAGGTGCCTGCCACCATGCCTGGCTAATTTTTGTATTTTTAGTAGAGATGGGGTTTCACCATGTTGGTCAGGCTGGTCTCGAACTCCTGACCTCAGGTGATCTGCCCACCTCAGCCTCCCAAAGTGCTGGGATTACGGGCGTGAGCCACCTTGCCTGGCCAAAGTGACATCTTTCATATACTTGGTGGCTTTTTATATATGCATACCCTTGATGGCCTGAGCAGTTTCATGGGTGGTTTCTTTTATTTGTTTGTTTTGAGACAGGTTCTCACTCTGTTGCCCAGGCTGTAGTGCAGTGGTACAATATTGGCTCACTACAGCCTCAACCTCCTGGGCTCACGTGATCCTCCCACTTCAGCCTCCCAAATAGCTGGGACTACAGGTGTGCACCACCACACCCGGCTAGTTTTTAAAGTTTTTGTAGGGACGGTCTCAATCTGTTGCCCAGGCTGGTCTCGAACTCCTGGGCTCAAGTGATCCTTCCACCTTGGTCTCCCAAAGTGCTGGGATTACAGGAATAAGCTACTGTACCTGGCCTGTACTCATCTTTTTTTTTTTACTAGGTTTTTCTCTTTTATTTCCTTAATAACTAACTAGACTATGTTCTTTTTTATTTTGTAAGTTAGAGCATCAATTCATTAATTTACAATGAACAGTAAAACTTTCACAGAAATCTGAACATTCTCTTCTTTCCTGCAAAGCAACTTGAGGAATGAAATACAGTATTACAGTGTATGAGGTTCTGTGCTAGGCATTGGGTAGATAATGATGGCCAAGACAAATTCCTTGGAGTTTGCATCTGCTGGACCCACTTTTTCATCTGGGTGGTTGCTTAATGAACATGGAATACACACAAGAAGAGTTGGTTGTGGATTTCAGTTCTTTGATCCACTCAGGCATGCTGTCTCTGTCTCCATAATGGGACCTGTCTACCATTGCGCCAGACAGGTGGTGTCTAAATATCATACCATCTCCTTGCCTGGTCAAGGCTGGAGGCATCCATTTCTTCGTTATTTTTTTCTCAGTAATTTTTTTAGCATAATAACATTTTATTGCTTACTCATGTCCCAGCCCACTAAGTCAGTGGAGGGGCTACTGATCCACTCAGTCCATTCAGGAACTCAGGTTCCTTCCATCCTGGGATGCCATGATTATCAACATTGGTCTCCTGGGTTGCCACAAAGGGAAAAAGAATGCAGATCATTTGTGGAGATCATTGTGGTCCAGGCCTGGATTTGAAGCATATAATTTCTACCTGGCCAGAACTAAGTCATTTGGCTTTATTGCAAAGGGTCTGGGAACTATAGTCTTGTGTCCAGTAGGAAAATCAAATGGGTTTATAGTGAAGACATTGACTAGCTCTGCCAAGATCTGCCCTTCTGGTGACCACATAGCTATTTTTATTGTTCCTCCCTCTTAGAGAATATACTCGTTCCTTTCCCAAGGGAGACAACTCAAGTCCCATCATTCAGTCATTGCTTCCAGCTCAAAGTTCAGGATCTTCAGGCAGTGTCCTTCCCATCAGATTTGGTTGTGACTTCATTTTGCCAGTAATTTAGAACCAAAACTCCCTTCTCCCAAGTATTTAAAAGCAAACAAATGCAAACATATTTCATTTCTTTATAGTTTGACAGTTTTGCTCATTTCTCTCACTCCCTGACATTTATAATGCCCAAGATTCTTGTCAGCCTTGGTTTATCATTCTACCTAGCTCTGGTTTCACTGTGGTTCTGTGGTTTTTCTTTGTGACTCAACTCCATGATAACTGGCAGATGTCCTGGAGAACATGATGGAGCCACCACAGCGAGACTCCAGTGCACCAGGGAGGTTTCACGTTGGCAGTGCAGAATCCATGCTGCATGTTCGACCTGGTGGATACACGCCCCAGAGAGCACTGATTAACCCCTTCGCTCCCTCTCGGATGCCCATGAAGCTTACGTCCAACAGAAGGCGCTGGATGCACACTTTTCCTGTGGGTAAGTTGGTTGCTTAAGAGAGAGCCTTGGACTAGGAGCTCCTAGCCCTGGTCCTCAGTGTCGGTCACCCATGTGTCCTTGGTCAGGTGCCTCTGTTGCTCCACCTGTAAGATGGGATAACCATGCCCACTTTGGCCATCCCAGGGGTTCTTGTAAAGATCCTTGAAGATGCACTTGGGAATAGGCTTTGTAACTAATTAGCTGTATAAACCTGAGGGCTTTTTTGTTTGTTTCTGCCCTTTTTTTTTTTTTTTTCTTTTGAGACAGGGTCTCACTCTAGTTGCCTAGGCTGGAGTGCAGTGGTGCAGTCTCAGCTCACTGCAGCCTCAACCTTCAGGGCTCAGGTGATTCTCCCACCTCAGCCTCCCAAGTAGCTGGGACTGTAGGTACGTGCCACCAGGCCTGGCTAGTTTTTTGTATTTTTAGTAGAGACAGGGTTTCACCATGTTGCCTAGGCTGGTCTTGAACTCCTGGACACAAGCAATCTGCCCACCTTAACCTCCCAGAGTGCTGGGATTATAGATGTGAGCCACCGCATCCGGCCCTTTGTTTCTATTTGAGAGGAACTATGCATTGCCACCTGCTTTCTTTCCTAAGTCAGATGTCCCTCATTCTTGTTCATTCCTTCTTCTCTTAGATCTCTTGGATATTGATATCCTGTCTTGGTTACAAGGAGTTATGTTGTTTTGTTTTCTGTTAGGTCTCTCTGACAACTGAAAAAAAATTTTCCCCTGAATTCACTTTTTCCTAGTCCATTCTTTTTTATCTATATTCTGTTCTCAAGAAGATGACAGTAAGATTGTCTCAAGCTGTGGCTAAAATTAAACTTTAGCTTAATGGGCTCTTATTGAGCTGGAAAGGAACAAATGCATTAAACTCCAGGATTTTGTGTGTGTGTGTGTGTGAGACAGTGTCTCACTCTGTTACGTAGGCTGGAGTACAGTGGCGTGATCTCAGATAACTGCAACCTCTGCCTTTTGGGTTCAAACAATTCTTCTGCCTCAGCCTCCCAAGTAGCTGGGATTACAGGCATACATCACCACACCTGGCTAATTTTTGTATTTCTAGTAGAGACGGGGTTTCACCATGTTGGTCAGGCTGGTCTCAAACTCCTGATCTCAAGCAGTCCACCCACCCCGGCTTCCCAGTGTGCTGGCATTACAGGCGTGAGTCACCGTGCCTGGCCAAATTTTTATTTTATTTTTTTCATGGAAACCATCCTGCTGAATACCTGGAAATGCCTATTTTCTTTTGTACTTGCCTTTAATATTTAAAAGTTAAATAAGTGAGAAATAGATCTGAATCATTTGGCTGTAACTGGGGGGTCATGCCTAAACCCCGTTCTGCCCCCTTATCTCTGCTATAATCAGTCACACTACTTGTTTCTTTCTGTGTCCTTTCCCCTCCATTATTGTCTCCACTGGTTCCCTTCCAGGTCACTTAGAACTCTTGGTGTTTCTTCAGTGACCTTCATCTTTTCATGCTTCTGTGCTTCTCCTCCTCCCACTCTTCATGTACACTTTATTGGAACCATATTCTGCAAACAGTTTGCTTCGCTTCTTCCTCCTGTTTAGCTGGCCTTTCAGTAGCCAAGGCCCTCCTTCATCAGGGTTCCCTGTCTTCCTCATTCCTATCCTCAGAGGCTCTCTTCCTTCTTGGCTAATCTTGTGGTCTCCTGCACGTTTTGCCTCTTTCAGGTTTGGGATTTCACAGGTATCATTTCATCTACCCAGATGCCCTCTTCCTTCAATCGCTGTTAACTTTGTTGAACACTTAGCTCTACAAGTTCTCCTTTCCCAGGAAGCCTCATTTTGTAGACTTGACTAATTGTAATTTGTTTCCTACTCTGCCTTTTTTGCACTTAAACATCTTCTGCTTCTTAGAGTCACAGTTGTTACTCTCCTAGGTATTAACAGAATCATTTGGTGTTTCACTTGTATTTCCCTCTTACTGAGTTTGTGTTAGCCCTCCTGGCAAGGGGCCATGCCTCCTATACTTGTATATTTCACTGTGGCTATTCAGTTGACACACCTGAGGCAGAATATCCTAAAATATTCTTAACAGATTAGACAGGATGATAAAGGTGAGGCTCCTTAGTAGGATGGGTCCTGCTTGGAAGAGCAGATGTCCTTTGGGAGCCACCCTCTGTGGTGTGTTCTTCTTTCAATCTCACCAACATCTGTATCCCAGTAGCTGGAAAGAAGGGAGAGTATAGTTAAGTGCACAGCACTAGCTATCAGGTGGGAATGATGCTCAGTGGTTCTTTATCTGGGTAGGGCCATCCGGAGAAGCCATCCAGATCCACCACCAGACCCGACAGAATATGGCGGAGCTACAAGGCAGCGGGCAGAGGGATCCAACTCACTCCTCTGCAGAGCTGCTGGAGTTAGCATATCATGAAGCTGCTGGAAGGTGAGGATGTGCACAGGGCTCTGGAAGGTAACCTGAGAACACTCTCCAGCACCCAGGACAATGTGCAGAACAGACTATTGACAAAATGTTGTTTAGAAGACTTGAAAAGACAGTATGAGGTCAGGGCCTTCCTTTGTTGGCCAGTGGCATTCCCTTCAGTTGGTGAAGGGCAAAGCAAACATCCTGACATTTTTGCCTGAGATGTTACCTAGGCCCTGTTTTAGGTTTATTTTGAATCCAGAACACACTTTGTAAACCTCAAACGTGGGTTTTTCTAAACCTCAGTCAAAGGTGAATCCAAGAGAGGAAATTCTTTGGATTTGGAATGCTGAGACAGGAGATTCATGCTGTGTGTTTTGGGCAACCTCTCTGACTTTTGTGATTTTGGTCATTCAGAAATAAATCCCACTGTTGAGTTTAGAATAAGTTAATGCTAAGGGCAATGGAAATGAAGGCTTATGTTTATAGAAACAACTCTTTTTGAACCAATGCTCTGAATGTGTTACGAACATCCAGTGAGAGTCAGTGTAGGAGGAAAGTCATTTAAGCCTTGACAGGCGTGAGCCCGGGTTACACCTGGACTCAATATTCCTGTTGCTTTAGAAAACACTTTGCAAAATGCAGTCTTTGGCCCCTCTTTCAGTCACCTTGACACCCTAGGGGATAGATAAGGGATATGGGGAGGGCGTGACCTTCTTAACCAGATGAACTCAGGTCCATATATTCAAGCACCTCACACCCATCCTTGTTTGTAAAAGGGAGGCATAGGGCATAGGGAGGCATAGGGAGGCATAGGGCAGACAGGGCGGGTGGTCTAGCTTGGTGGTGGGAAAGCAGCAGGGGTGCCAGGGTCACAAGGAGCCGGCACTGACACACAAACTAAGCACTGTGGCCTGGTGGCTTAAGATAAGGATTCCAGTGGCTGCCAGCTTGAGT
The DNA here is from genome assembly GCF_000001405.40 of Homo sapiens. Lineage (NCBI taxonomy): Eukaryota > Metazoa > Chordata > Mammalia > Primates > Hominidae > Homo > Homo sapiens. The sequence goes on from NC_000022.11 coordinate 31,822,574, forward strand.
TGGCTGAATATTCAGGCCTGATTTTTATGAACCTACCTCCCACCCCCGGGATATAGGTGAGCAGGAAAAAGAGGTGATGATCTACATTAAGCCAGGTGGCTGGGCTCTGTTCTCTGCAGGCACAGCAATTCCCGCCAGCCTGGTGACGGCATGTCCTTCTTGAACTTCAGTGGAACAGAGGAGCTTTCTGTCGGCCTGCTTAGCAACAGTGGTGCAGGTAACCAATCCAAGAGGTAATAGAGTTGGGATGTTTAGATCAGGCTCACATCTGGAAATGACACAAGGGCCAGAAAAGCAGGGCCATGTCTATTTTGAGATCATTTCAGCCACACTTTTGGGTGACCTATTTAGAAACAGTGCTCTATAATGCATGGAATTAAAAATGGGCTGCACGTTAACATTTTTAGCTCAGAACATGTTGGTCAAGCCACATTTATCATCATTCTGTCACAGAGTTGTGATTGAGGGCAGCTTAGGAGCATAGTATTGAGGGCAACACCATGGACAGAGCTGGAGTGGTCTGTGCTCTAGAGGGACTTTTGGTTGTCAGGGGCAATGGGGAGCAAACCCACCTCCATAACAGGAGAGACCCAGAGGGGAGAAGTATGTGTCCAGTTTTAAGACCAGAAAAGAGAAGGATTACATAGTTGCCTAGAGAAGTGAGCATGCACCAGGGCTGGGCGCAGTGGCTCATGTCTGTAATCCTAGCACTTTGGGAGCCTGAGGTGGGTGGATCACTTGAGGTCAGGAGTTCGAGACCAGCCTGGCCAACATGGTAAAACCCCCATCTCTACCAAAAACACAAAAAGATTAGCCAGGCATGGTGATGCACACCTGTAGTCCCAGCTACTGGGAAGGCTGAAGCAGGAGAATCTCATGAACCTGGGAGGCGGAGGTTGCAGTGAGCTGAGGTTGTGCCATTGTACTCCAGCCTGGGCTGCACAGCCAGACTCCATCTCAAAAAAAAAAAAAAAAAAAAAAGAGAAGTGAGCACGCACCAAAGACTTGAAGGGTAGAATTTGGTTAGGTAGACAGTTAGAAGGTGAAGTTTCAGTGCGGGTGGGGGAAGCAGTATGAATTTGGTTTGGTATGATACTTTGGTTTTATGCTTTTTGGAAATACTTTTATATCTATTGTCTTATCACCCCAGTGGGTGATCAAAATATATTTAAGTTATTAAATATATTTTATACATGGGCAACTTAACGTCCAGAGAGGTAGAAATATTAAAGTAACCTCTCAAACCAATAGCCAGGTATCCTGACTCAGGCTGCTGTCCTCTTTTCGTGACATTGTTCAGAGTACCTTTAAGGGATAGAGTAACATGAGCTTGGATCAGTAGGGGCAGCATTTGTGGAGCCTCAGAGGACAGAGATATTGTACAAAATGAGTGTGGAAAACATTAAAACTTTAAAAAAATTGGGCTACTACGTTGTGCTTTAGTGTTCTATAAGCTAACTTGAATTTCTAAAACCTAGCTTAAGAAAGGTGTCATTGCTGGGCACAGTGGCTCACGCCTGTAATGCTCACCCTTTGGGAGGCCAGGTGGATCACCTGAGGTCAGAAGTTCGAGACCAGCCTGGCCAACGTGGTGAAACCCCATCTCTACTAAAAATACAAAAATTAGCCAGGTGTGGTGGCATATGCCTGTAATCCAAGCTACTCGGGAGGTTGAGGCAGGAGAATTGCTTGAACCTGGGAGGCGGAGGTTGCAGTGAGCTGAGATTGCGCCACTGCATTCCAGCCTGGGCGACAGAGCGAGACTTTGTCTCAAAAAGAAAAAAAAAAAGAAAGGTGTCATGAAAATGAAGTTATATCAAATTGGTTGATGATATTTTCCTTTATTCATTGGTAGGTTCATCCAGCAATATTCCTAGAGGCCTATGTCTAAGGCTAGGAATCTGGGTTGGCAGTAAGAGAATCCCTAAATGGTTATTATTTCATTTATTAATTCATTCACTTATTTTTTGGTTAACCTACTTACCAGCATTCATTTATTTTAGATGAGAAAACACATTGAATACAAATGTAGGGATAGAAAGACACTGTGCCCCTCTGTACTCAGAGGGCTGAAAATGTTACCTCTGGCTGCCAGATTATTTGTAAATACCTAGCCGGGCACTGTGGCTCACACCTGTAATCCCAGCACGTTGGGAGACCAAGGCGGGTGGATCACGAGGTCAGGAGATTGAGACCATCCTGGCTAACACAGTGAAACCTGTCTCTACCAAAAAAATACAAAAAAAAAATAAAATAACTGGGCGTGGTGGCGGGCACCTGTAGTCCCAGCTACTTGGGAGGCTGAGGCAGGAGAATGGTGTGAACCTGGGAGGTGGAGCTTGCAGTGAGCCGAGATCGTGCCACTGCACTCCAGCCTGGGCGACAGAGCAAGACTCCGTCTCAAAAAAAAAAAAAAAAAGGAAGAAAAGAAAGTACCTTTAGAGGGGCTATTGCTTTGCTATGCCAAGGAGCCATTTTTAGGAACCCAGAGTTTGAGCCTCTCAGGCTGTTTGGGGTAGAGTTGCGCCGAGGAGGGCTACTCTGGGACTCATTTGACTATACTTGAACTAGTTTCACTGGTTAACTGAAGCAGGGGGAATTACAGGTTCTGATGGTAGCAGCACCAGAATGTACCCAGGTAGTCTTGGAAGTTGTTTGGGGCCTGGGATAGCTCAGGTGGACCAGTTGATTTCCCATAAAATTTGTTTTAGAATTTTAAAATCATTTTAGGGAAAAGAAGTTTCAAAGAATCTTTATTTGGGGTGGTTGTGGAAGATTTTAACATGACACCATTGTGGAGTCCTCTGAGCTAAGGGTTCCCTGGCAGACTCAAATTGGAAAAGCATTTGCTGCAACCTGAAGCTCTGGCTCAGCCTTCTCTTTGGCTTCTGAGCTGTAGGTGTGTCCACCTGATGGACCTCTCTGCTCAGATGGCCCCCAAGTACCTCATCCTTAATGCATTGACAGCCAAACTCATGTCTCCCTGTTCCTCAGCCCATGCTTCCTCTTCCACTCCTTCTTCTGATTGGCTCCTCACCTCCGTTCTCACTGCATTGTTCAGACTCCTGTCATTTGTGGCCAGGATTATTGCAGTAGCCTTCAAAATGATCTTCCTGCTCTGTTCTCATCCCTTCTGATTCATAGTCCATACTGTCACTGATGTTTCCAGATGCAGATCTGATCAGCCACTCCTTCCCACATGTAACCCTTTCATGGCTCTTCATGGCTATAGTGCTGATCATCACCCAGCTCCTCCCTGTGGTTGTATCTTCACCTGCCTCCTCTTCCACATGGTACTGCAGGTGGAAAGAGCGCAGGCTCCAGGATCTTAGGACATGAGGCCTGACTCCACCTCATGAGCAGTGAAGCCCTCAGGCCAGTTACTACACTAATTTCTGGGTATCTCAGTGTCTTTATCATGAAGAGATTGAATTTTTTTTTTTTCTTTTTTGAGGAAGAGACTCACTCTGTCTCCCAGGCTGGAGTGCAGTGGTGCGATCTCAGCTCTCTGCAACCTCTGCCTCCCGGGTTCAAGCAATTCCCCTGCCTCAGCCTCCCAAGTAGCTGGGATTACAGGTGTGTACTACCACCCCCAGCTAATTTTTGTATTTTTAGTAGAGATGGAGTCTTGCCATGTTGGGCAGTCTGGTCTCAAACTACTGGCCTCCTGTGATCTGCCCATCTCAGCCTCCCAAAGTGCTGGGATTACAGGCATGAGCCACCACACCTGGCTGGAGATTGACTATTAAATGTGATAATCCACATAAATTCTTAGGACAGTGCTGGACATCCATGGTGAGCACTCAACAAATAGGAGCTGTTGTTGTCATTACAATAACATATTTTGTATTCCAGGCATTTCTTGTGCTCCTCAAAAGAACTGTGTCCTCGTGTTCCTTTGCATAGATAGGTTCCTCTCTATAGAATATGCTTCTTCCCTGTCTTTAACCCCTGATTCTGACTGGCAGGCATGAACTTAGTTTATTATTCAGCTGCAACAATACCTCTTCTTTGAAGCCTGCCCCGGTGGTTCCCCCTCCTTCCCATGCCCTCCCGGGGTGTGTTAGGCATGTTTCCGCACAGCTCCGTATGCATAACCCAATTGTACAACTTGGCATGTTGTGATCTCACTGCTTGTTTTCCATGTCTGTCTCCTCACTAGACTGAAAGAGCTTATCTTTATTCATTTTCTCCACTCAATGTTTAACACATTTATGGACAAATGAATTTATATTTCCAAGACCAAGTTGCCGTATGTGAGAAGAATTTGAATAACACACAATATTATTATTTAATTGGTATGCAAGTATTTAATTATACATAGTTTTTTTTTTTTTTTTTAAGAGACAGGATCTTCCTCTGTTGTCCAGGATAGAGTACAGTGGCTTGATCTCACTGCAGCCTCAACCTTTTGGGATGATGTGATCCTTTCACCTCAGCATCCCAAATAGTTGGGACTACAGGCACATACCACCACACCTGGCTTAATTATATACGTATGCTCTGAATGCTTGGCTTCTCATAGATGGTGTGGGATCCTGGGGTTGTTTTTCTAGTCAGGGTGATATTGTTAAGTGGGGTCATCTTTTCCCTTTCCCAGTCCCTTTATGTAACCTATAGCATGTGTTTTCAAAGGGGTTAGTGGCCATCAAGAGGTGATCTATAGCCACATGGGAACTGAACTCCCATCTTTGACCTTAAGCTACCTGATCAATTATGTTAATGAGCCACTGAAAGAAATTAGATAAAATTATTCAAATTTTTATAACCATATATCGGACATTAATTTGTTATAACCATATGCAAAACCAATTAATGTCAGATCTTCAGGATATATCCATAGTCTTACTTCCATCAGTCTTAGCCTGGCCTAAGGTGCCATCATCTTTTGCCTGGATGCAGTAGCGAGTTACCTGGTCTTGGGCTCCTCCCTTGCCCTTCCATATCGTTTATTTTCAACACAACAAATCAGAGTGACCTTTATAAAATAGAATTTGGATTATGAACTTCTCTGCACAAAATTTTCCAAGGGCTTCCCAGCTCACTTGGAGTAAAAGCCAAGGCATTATGGTGGCAGATAGACCCCTCATGTCATGTGGCTGCTTGTTACGCTCAGTCCTCGTCTCCTGCTTTCTCCCTCTCATTTCACTCTGGAGGTTCCCCAGATAGATCAGGCTCACTCTGAATTGCAGGTCCTTCCTCTTGTTCGCCCCTCTGCTGTGCCTTTACTCCAGAGAGCATCATGGCTAAGATCCAGATGTCTGCATTTGCCCAAGACAGTCCTGGTTTGAATTTGTGAACCCATATGACTATTAATAGTGTCCCCTTCCAGTCTCAGAGGTGTCCTGTATTGGATGATAAATGACATGGCCACCCTTCCCACAGCTCGCTCTCTCGCTTCCTTCAGGTCTTGCCTGAATTGCCATATTTTACTTCAGCACTCCCCTCCTATCCTCTCTACCTAATATTTCTCCATTGTGCCACCTGGCATGCTAGATTTTTAAATTTTGTACTTTTTTTATTGTAAGTTCCATGACTGTCAGGATTTTTGTTTTGCTCATGACTGTATTCCCAGAGCTTAAAACAGTTCCTGGTGGCTGGGCACAGTGGCTCACGCCTGTAATCCCAGCACTTTGGGAGGCCAAGGCGGGCGGATCACCTGAGGTCGGGAGTTCGAGACCAGCCTGACCAACATGGAGAAACCGCCATCTCTGCTAAAAATACAAAATTAGCCAGGCGTGGTGGCGCATGCCTGTAATCCCAGCTACTTGGGAGGCTGAGGCAGGAGAATCGCTTTGAACCCGGGAGGCGGAGGTTGCAGTGAGCCAAGGTCACGCCATTGCACTCCAGCCTAGGCAACAAGAGCAAAACTCCGTCTCAAAAAAAAAAAAAAAAAAAAAACAGTTCCTGGCACATAATAGATAGTTGAATGAATGCTAAAAATCTTCTGAAGTTAGCTTTCTCTCTACTGAAGCATGATTTAATTTTTCTCTAATGCTTTTCTTTCTTATAACCTTCTTAAACAATTAACTAGATTCCTTTTTTTCAAAGACTTGGGTAGTCTTTTTCTCCTTGCTTGGTTTTTAAGTGACTTTCCTTTCAAGCCATCCTCAGTTTTCATGGAACATGTTTTGCCTTCTTCAAACTCACTAAACTCTTACCCATTCGAGAAAAGTGTATTGAACTCTAGGCACTGTGCTAAGGCCTGAGAAGAAACAAAAACTACTAAGACACTGACTCTCCCGACCTCAAGGAGCTCTGCTTCCTCATGCACTTGGGATTCTCTTTCAAGCAATTCCCATGTGGGGTAATGACGATGAAAGGAAAGCCGTCTTGTGGGGGATTGAACTGTGAATGGTTTCAGTGTGGTTTGAACATGTGATCTCTGCTAAATGAGGATGTGCTAGATGAGGGAGTGTGCTGTGATGAAAACAACCAGGATCAGAATTCCCCCTGCCCCTCACTGGACTTTCAAGCTGAGGCTCAGGTTCTTCATCTGTGTAATGGGCATAAAGATCCTCCCCTTCCTGACTGCCTGTCCCACAGAGCGGTTGTCTGGATCAAAAGTAGGTTGGGTACATTATGGGCTAGATTACCACATAGAGTCCTTGTTTTGGGACAAGGTGGGGTCTGAATTCACAACTGGTTAACATTTCATTCATTAAAAAATCAGAGAAGACTGGCGCGGTGTCTGACGCCTGTAATCCCAGCACTTTGGGAGGCCAAGGCGGGTGGATCACTTGAAGTCAGGAGTTCGAGACCAGCCTGACCAACATGTTGAAACCCCGCCTCTACTGAAAATACAAATATTAGCTGGGCGTGGTGGCGGGCGCCTGTAATCCCAGCGACTTGGGAGGCTGAGGCAGGAGAATCGCTTGAACCCGGGAGGTGGAGGTTGCAGTGAGCCAAGATCATGCCATTGCACTCCAGCCAGGGTGATAAGAGTGAAACTCCATCCCAGGGGAAAAAAAAAATCAGAGAAAAATCCAAACAGAGAAACCTTATCTGTGACCCTACCTTCACCTCTTTGCACCATCTGCAGGCACTCAAGCGTGACTCAGTCTTTCTCCTGCATTTGGACATGATTCATATGTGAATCATGATTCACAGGAGTATCATCTCTGTGGGTTTCCCTCCCAGCCCCACAGAATTTCATTTGGAGTGTTGTTGGTGGGGACCTGGTAGCTGCAGTCTTCACTTGTTTTTCACCCTGCTGCCCAGCAGAGACAGGGCAGTTGGTGTGACTGGGCAGATAGTTTTTATCCCTCTGTATCTTTAACTGGGCACCATTTTAGAAGACTTGCTAGTAAATGTCTTCCTTTATTGGAGTTAAATCATTTTGAAAAAGAAAATAAGTGGATGCCATGTTTTCTTTCTCTTTAGTGTTGAGGCTTAGAATCTGCAACTTGATATTTGTGTTGAATATTAGGTGCATGCAGTATATTTGGCCTGAGAGCCAAAGTAAAAGTAACTCATAGCATACTGAGACTGGATGGAAGGACCTCCGTCATTTCTCCAGGCCAGGTCAGTTTTTTTTATGGGTAAGTGCTGCCTCTGTAGCCCAGAGAAGAGAAACCACTTGCCCCAGGCACAGGCTTCTAGATATGGGCTTGGAACTAGCCCTAGAGGCTCCACACTGAGTAACCTTTTTGACCTTGAGGTTTTCAGCCAGAGAACACATTCACAATTCTGAACAGATGTCAAAAGAGACAGAGCTGAGATGACTCTTACCAGCATTGGCTTCCGAAGTCTATGTCTGGCTTTGAACTTTGAGTGTGAGACTTCATTCCCAAATGTTGGGTTGGAGCAGAGCTGGCTGACCATGAGGTTTCACCTCCATCATTGCAGGCTGGTGGGACTCTTCATATGCCAACAGCAAGTCTTTATGACTGAAAATAAGACCTCAGAGAGCCAGTGGGAAAGGCAGTGTGTTGGGCTTGAATTACAAGGAAACTGTGTGTGAGTAGCTTCCTGGAAGTCCTTAAAATATTTGCTTAAAAGCATAATAGCTTCCTGGAAGTCCTGAAAATATTTGCTTTTTCGGGGTATGCGTGTACGTGTGTGTGTGTGTGTGTGTGTGTGTGTGTGTGTGTGTGTAGGTAGGTGTGTCCACTAGAGATGGCACAGATCTACTTTTGGCCTAGGATTCAAAGCTGCTCTGTTAAGTTGAACTATTTCTTTTCTTTTTTTTTTTCTTTTTTTGAACTCTTTATTAGTGTAAGAATTTGAGTTGTCTTGCAGACCAAGTCTAGAACAGGTTTTCTTTAAAAACAAAAACAGGTGATCAAATGAGCAAACTTGGCAGCCAAACCTGGGAGGTGATATGGTAACAATTCTGTTATTGCTCAGAGTGTTTTGCAAATGCCAGTTTGCCTTCATACCAGTTCTCAAGCTAAATAAGAAAATCCACCTCGTTGCTTCTTTATAATCATGCTTTATATTTGTATGAAAATGAAAGTTGTCAGCCAAGGTTTTTTTTTTTTTTTCCAGAAAATTTAGCTCCAAGTGGCTTTTGGCTATTGACAAAGAACAGATAACATTTCAACAGCTAAAAATTGGTGCCCCAGATGGATAGTCAAGAAATAGAGCATCTGTAAAGTTGAGCAGAAAGAATCTAAATTCAGGTTCCTCCTACTTACTGTGAGATCTTCAGTAAGTTGCTTAACTTCTCTGAGCCTCAGTTTCTTTATCTGTGGAAAAGGATCATACCTACCTCATATCTACTGGTGTGGGTTTGAATTAAATGAAATACTGTATTTGTCTGACTTAATACATGTATCTTCTAGTATAACGAATATTAGTTTTTAAAAATCTGCTCCAAGCAGTTCCAAAAGAAAAGTCCTAAAATTGTTTTGGCCAGGTGATGTCATCTTTATTTTTATTTTTACTGATTTATTTTTTTCAGACAGAGTCTTGCTCTGTGGCCCAGGCTGGAGTGCAGTGGTGTGATCTCAGCTCACTGCAACCTCAGCCTCCCGGGTTCAAGTGCTGCTTCTTCTGCCTCAACCTCCCGAGTAGCTGGGATTATAGGTGCCCACCACCATGCCAGGCTAATTTTTGTATTTTTAGTAGAGACGAGGTTTCACCATGTTGGCCAGGCTGGTCTCGAACTTCTGACCTTCAGTGATCCCCCCGCCTCGGCCTCCCAAAGGGTTGAGATTACAGGCGTGAGCCCATCTTTTTAAATAAAAAAATTAGTTATTTAAAAATTTATGTCCAGTAAAATGTGCTATATTTAGTGTACAGTTCTGTGAGTTTTGACAAATGCATAGAGTTGTATACCCACAAACAAACACATCAAGATAAGAAAATTTCCATCACCACCCAAAATTCCCTTGTGCTGTTGCTTTGTCCTCAGTCCGTCCATGTGTTCTCTGGCAACCACTCATCTGTTCTCTGTCCCTCTGGTTTTACCTTTCCCAGCATGTAACATACATGGAATCATACAGTATGTAATTTTTTGAGTCTGGCTTATTTCACTCACCATATTGCATTTGAGAGATTCATCCACGTTGCCACGTGTCAATAGTTGCCTCCTTTTTATTGCTGAGTAGTATTCCATTGTATGGATGAACTACAATTTGTTTATCCTTCCCCCAGTTGAAAGATAATTGGGCTGTTTCCAGGTTTTGGCAACTATGAATAAGACTTCTATAAATGTTTACATGATTTTATATGAACAAAGTTTTCGTACGAACTTAAGTTTTCATTTTTCTTGTATAAATTTCTATGAGTAGATTGCTGGGTCAAATGGTAAATCTGTTTTCCAAAGTGGTGTGCCATTTTGCATTGTTATCAACAATGTGTAAGGCTTCCTGTTGTTCCATATCCTTGTCAACACTTGGTATATCCAGTCATTTTCATTATTTCATCATTCAAATCAAATAAGCATGTAGTGGTATCTTACTGCACTTTTTTTTTTTTTTCTTTTGAGACGGGGTCTTGCTCTTTCAGAAACCCAGGCAGGAGTGCAGTGGCACAGTCATAGCTCACTGCAACCTTGGACTTCTGGGCACAAGCAGTCCTCCTGCCTTAGCCTCCTGAGTGGCTGTGAACACAGGTGCATGCCACCATGCCTGGCAAATCACTGTGCTTTTAATTTGCTATTTCCTTAATGACTACTGATGTTAAGCATCTTTTAATATACTTATGTTCCTTTTGCATATGTTGTTTGTCCTTTTCTCATTGGGTTGTTCGTTTTCTTGCTTTTGAATTTGAGAGTTCCCTATATCTTCTGGATGCAAGTCCTTTGCCAGGTGCATGATTTGCAAGTGCTTTCTGTCATGTTGTAGATTGTTTTTTCAAAGCTTTCACAAGAAATTTATAAATACTTGTTCTTGTTATAAAATATTCAAATGACCCAGAAGTATTTAGAGTAAAAAGTACAAATTCTCTTTTACCTCCTATCCCTTCCTCCAGCTTTCTTCTCAGAGTTAGCCACCGTTGAATGTTTAGTGAGCATCTTTCCAGTCCTTTTTAAAAAAATATTTTTATGTGTATTTACATAGAGATGGTGTCTCACTCTATCACCCAGGCTGGGGAGCAGTGGAGTGATTATAGCTTGCCACAGCCTTGAACTCCTGGCCTTGTGAGCTACCATGCTCAACCTCAATTCTTTTTATGGCATCAGAATTTTCTGATAAATATATGTTTTGAAAGGGACATTTAAGTACTGATAGGTGTGCTTTAAAATTAATTGTATTACTCGACAGTCAATAAATTGCATTTCAAAGAATCTTCCGGTTTTTCCTTTCAGCCCAGTTATAGGTAAAATCATTGTTTTTATGTTAAAGTAGTGAGTTTTGATGTCCTGTGTCATATTGTAGAAAGCCATGATTTGGGGAAGAAAATTCCAGAAGATAAGGATGGCTGATGAGTGGATTAAATTTAAATAGGTCATTTTGTTTTATTTTATATATTTTTTAGAGATAAGGTCTCTCTCACTCTGTCGTCGCCCAGGTTGGAGTGCAGTGGCACGATCAAAGCTCACTGTCAAAAATAGGCCATTTATATTCACTAAAGATTGCTCTAATTAGTTGAAATGACTTTGAAATGTGTCCGTTTTCTTAAAATAAGTGGCAGGTTGCTCGTGTTTGTGTGATCTCTTTTAGCAAAGAATGATACCAGTAACCTCAGAGTAAAGTTCTGGCTCATTCCCAATTTTAGATTGATCATTTTTCTTTGATCGATTCTTTTGTACTGTTTGAAATACTCAGCACAGAATTTGCACTTGGTTTACATTTTTATTTTTAGCTCCAGTTTGCCTTTTTCAACCATAACTGGTCAGAACTCTTTTGCAGAGTGAGCCTTCTTAAGACAAGCTGTTTTTATCTTTCCATAGGTATGAATCCTAGGACCCAGAATAAGGATTCTCTAGAGGACAGTGTTTCTACCTCTCCAGACCCAAGTAAGAGGGGGCAGCTGACTGGGGAAAGGGGTAGACAGGGAGTGTGGGGTGGTCAGAGCATGAGGAAACAAGAGGAAGCCCTGTGGGAAGTGAGTGGTCCTGAGGTACACATACCTCTGGGGTATGGGAAGGCGATGTGGTGAGGGAGGACTCTCTGGACTCTGTGATGGAAAGTGAGGGGGTGTGTGACTGAATGACCTGTTTTGGAAGGTGATTCAGGGGCACCTGGGAAAGGTAGCAGATTCCCTATAAGGCCCCCATGCTGGTCCAGAGCTGGCCTTCACCCTTAACTGCCTAATGATATCTCCATGAAAAAGTTGGAAAGACATAATAGGCTGTTAACTGGAATCATTTACCTGCCTGTAGTTGAAATATTTGGCTGAATTGCATTCCTTTTGATTGTCTTTTTGAATAGCTATGCAGTAAGAGAATGTCTAAATATCTGTAATAATAAAATAGCAGAGAAAATCCTACCATTTGATAAACTTTACTTAGCTGTGACCAATGGATGTATATCACTGAGTCTTTTTGTCCCCACTTTTTTTTTTTTTTTTGAGACAGTGTCTTGCTCTGTCACCCAGGCTGGAGTGCAGTGACGTGATCTCGGCTCACTGCCACCTCTGCCTCCCAGGTTCAAGTGATTCTTCTGCCTCAGCCTCTTGAGTAGCTGGGATTATAGGCGCGCGCCACCACGCCTGGCTAATTTTTGTATTTTTAGTAGAGACGGGGTTTCACCATGTTGGTTAGGCTGGTCTCAAACTCCTAACCTCGTGATCCTGACCTCGTGATCCGCCCGCCTTGGCCTCCCAAAGTGCTGTGATTACAGCCGTGAGCCACCTCGCCCAGCCTTTGTCCCCACTTAATAATCCTTTTACTATTTGTTCAGGTCCCTCCTAGCAGTCATTTGTAATGGCAACATTAAGCATATTACTGTATCTTGGTTTGAGTAGTCATTTCTTATTCATGACCATTTGGATGGCTTTCTGCTTTTTAGCCATAGCATATAATGCAGCTATGATAATACCTGGTGGGCTGAGCATGGTGGCTCATGCCAGTAATCACAGAACTTTGGGAGGCTGAGGTGGGTGCTTCACTTGAGCCCAGGAGTTTGAGACCAGCCCGGGCAATATAGTGAGACCCTGTCTCTATTAAATTAGAAGTTAATAATAATACATAATACATGGTGCAGCAGGTGTATTTTTTCTTTTGGTTAATGTCTTTGGATTACACTCCCCAAAGTATGGTTGGCAGATTGACTATTTTCCAGAAAGCTACCAGCAGTGAATAGATGATTCTATTTCTCTACAACCCTGTCACCGGAGTTTGTTACCTTTGCTCATCATTGTTATTTTAGTGGTTCTGAGGTGTAGAACTTCCTCAGAGTCCCTCTTTTCAGAACCAGAAGATACTGGGGTTAGAAAAGAGGCTGCACTCTTTTCCTAGAGACAGAACACCCTTAAACTTACAATCAGGATCCTTTCTCATCATGAGATCTCGAACTAAGCATTTGAACAGTCTGTGTCTTGTTGTGTGCCCAGCAGAAAGCATTTCTACAAGATTTTTGTAATCCTGAGGGTCAGAAGGCTGATGATGGCCAGGATGATCTAAGAGGACATAAAGATAGATTTGTCTTCTGTTTCTGGCTTCCCCACTGGGGCTTTGATCAGGTCCTCATCTTCTGTTTTAGCCAGGAAGTAAAAACAAGCTCACCTTCTCGGCTGCCATATAGAAAAATGGAGATGATTAATTAGGCTATTCGGGCCTATGTTTTGGATTCCTGAATTATTAATGAGTTTATAAGGCCTGTGTAGAGCATGAATTAGATCTGTTGCAGGCTAAATCATCTTCCCCAAGTCAGTGGTGCCACGTGGGGCATCTTTCTGCTGTGACTTAGCACACAAATTTTGTTCTTCATTGACGGGAGGGCTGATGAGGCAGCAGGGGCTACAACACATTATAAGCTGTTAGCATGGTACAAAAATAAAGTGAGTATCCCATTCAGAACTTAGAGACAAACGCTCAGAGTTTTTCGGCTTCGTATTGCTCCCTTCTTTGGAAAGTTAAAAGATAGTCTTCACTTAAATTACTTAAAGAGGTAACTGCCCTATTATTTTAACTCAGTGAAGCTCAACCAGGGAGGATTTTCCTAACCAGGGAGGATTTCCCTCCCCCAGGGGAACATGTCAATGCCTGCAGACATTTCTGGTTTTCACAGCTAGGGGATGCCACTGGCATCTAGTGAGTAGAGTCCAAGGATGCTGCTGCGGTACCCAGGACAGCCCCCACAACAAAGAATTATCTGGTTCAAAGTCTCTGTTGTTGCCGAGGCTGAGAAACTCTGCTTTAACTGAGGAGCAGGCAATTCGGGACAGACCCATGTGGTCAGGACTGCTCTGCTAACTGCAGCCTTCATTTTTGGATTGTTAAAACTCTGTCTCTTAAAGTTCCAGCCTCCTAACTTTCCCAGATATCCTTACTTGATTTTTCCTCCCACCCTTTTGAATCTGTTACTTATTTTTGCAGTGCTAGAAGTATTCCTTATTTCTGCTACTGTATGCTGTTTGCTCCCAAACGAGGCTGAGCTCCCCTCCTTTCCCCACCTAGCCACTCTGCAGTCCTTGGGAGAGGCTCGTGCTTGGGCCTCCCTGCTCTTGGAACGTTGATGTGCTTCGACATGTAATTCTGCCTGCCCTGCCGTAATCTCACCTGCATTGCGGCTGCAGCTCACAGTCAGCAGAAAATGAAAAATATCAGCTGTGAATCCCATTTGCATGATGGGATTGGATAAGCATGTGCACTGCATTGTCTAACAAACTCTGTTTCTCTCTCTTTCTCCCTCCCCTACCCTGTTTCTTCCCAATCCTGGCAATTTTACCATCTTTCACCCTGAACTTTTTTCCCCACTCTTCCCTCCCCTTCCCTCCCCTGGCCCCCCATCCCACACTTGCCATGGTGACCACATGTACCTTTTCCCCCTGTTACGTGAGGCAGTTCTGACACTGTCTGCTCCCCCTGTAGTGCCAGGCTTCTGTTGCACAGTTGGAGTGGACTGGAAGTCTCTCACTACTCCGGCGTGCCTCCCCCTTACCACCGACTACTTCCCTGACCGCCAGGGCCTGCAGAATGACTACACAGAGGGCTGTTATGATCTCCTTCCAGAAGCAGACATCGACAGGTCAGTGTCAGAGAAAAAGGCACTTGGCTTGGTTGGTGAGGGTTTCGGATATATCCCACACATGCATCAGAACACTGGATTTGTGCTGGCTTCAGCAACACATATATTAAAATTGGAACGATATAGAGGAGATTAGCATGGCCGTTAAATAAAAAATTTTAAAAAAACATTGAATTGTATTTTATCTTTTTTTTTCCTTTTTTTTTTTTAACTGAGAGAGGGTCTCACTCTGTCGCTCGGGTTGGAGTACAGTGGTATGATCACAACTCACTGCAGCCTCTACCTCCTGAGTACAAACAGTCTTTCCACCTCAGCCTCCTAAGTAGCTAGGAGTAGCTGGGAGTGGCAGCACCACATCTAGCTAATTTTTGTGTATTTTATAAAGACGCTATTTTGCCATATTGCCCAGGTTGGTCTCAAACTCCTGGGCTCAAGTCATCTGCCCATCTGTTGCGTCCCAAAGTGCTGGGATTACTACCTTGAGCCACTGTGTCTGGCTGAACACTGAATTTTCAAGCCTGTGTCCTCTTTTTATATTTGGGTAACTTTTTTTTTTATTTTTTTGAGACAGAGTCTCACTCTGTCCCCCAGGCTGGAGTGCAGTGGTGCAGTCTCATCTCACTGCAACCTCTACCTCCCAGGTTCAAGCGATTCTCACGTCTCAGCCTCCTGAGTAGCTGGGACTACAGGCGTGTGCCACCACACATGGCTAATTTTTTGTATTTTTAGTAGAGATAGGGTTTCACCATGTTGGCCAGGCTGGTCTCGAACTCATGACCTCAGGTGATCCACCCACCTCGGCCTCCCAAAGTGCTGGGATTATAGGTGTGAGCTGCTGCACTGGCTGTGGGTAATTTTATGATGTAAGAACTGTTCGTTTCTCCAGAGTTCTATTGACATCAACTATTTCTCCTCGTTGATTGATTTATTTTTAACTCCAGTTGGTTCTGGCTTTGATGTTTATTCTCATATTTTCTAATGCAATTATTTTGGGCACACTAAATCTGATCTTCTTTTCTAAAATTACTCATTTGGGCATTGAGTTACCTGCCTCTTTTCACCTCTTTGAACTGTTAATTTTCCCCAAAACACTGATTTACAAATTGTTAGTAGTTTTTTTTCATATTTTCTATTATATTTTCTTTTCTCTATCTCTTTTATATACTGTCATCCAGGCTGAAGTGCAGTGATGCAATCTTGGCTCACTGCAACCTCTGCTGGGACTACAAGCGCGTGCCACCATACTTGGTTAATTTTTGTATATTTTTTGGTAGAGACAGGGTTTTGCCATGTTGCCCAGGCTGGTCTTGAATTCCTGGGCTTATGCATATGCAATCTGCCCATCTCAGCCTTCCAGAGTGCTAGGATTACAGACATGAGCCACCATGCCCAGCTCAAACTGTTAGTTTTATGAACCACCATAGAATGGTTATAAGGGGATGAAGCAAAGGAGATGATGAGACTGTGCACTCTTAAGTGTCACTGTCTCGGGCCAAGCATCTGTATGAGCAATCATCTGTTGTTTTCAGGAGGGACGAAGATGGTGTGCAGATGACAGCCCAGCAGGTATTTGAAGAGTTTATTTGCCAACGTCTCATGCAGGGCTACCAAATCATAGTGCAGCCCAAGACACAGAAACCCAATCCTGCTGTCCCGCCCCCGCTGAGCAGTAGCCCACTCTATAGCCGAGGTGAGTTTTTCTCCTTGGATTTCTATTTTTTTCTCTTCTACTGTGTATGTGGAAGTGGGTTTTCAAGATGGTAGGTAGTAGATAAATTTAGTAGTAATCGTTTTCGACATAGAAGTTTTCTTTATAAATTCTACTTAAGTGAGGAATAAAGTCTCCTTTAGGTATGGATTTATTTTAAATGCTCTCTTTAATTTACAACTCTCCCTTTAAGGCAGTGGATGTGGCCAAGTTCAGGAATGGGACAGCCTGGCTTGGACAGACACCTGGGAATAGTAGGCAGCTGAGTCACTACTGAGCTGTCAACGTTTCTAAACCTATATTTAATTGTTTCTAGTACAGTACCTGGCACACAGCAGATTGTCAGATGTTACCTAAACCTGAAGTTTACATTTGTTCTTATTTTCTTATTCTGGATTCATCTGTCTCTTCTTTATCACTGAAGCTTGGTGGCTTGAAGCAAGAATGGGTCATCTATGAGTGGCAGATTAGGCTAGTAAGTAACAGAGAATCGGTGTTGCTAATTGAATCAGAGCCAGGCAATGGAGAGCTCCTCTAAAATAAGTCTAACAGAGGGAATTAAGTGCAGGTGCCTGGAATCAGAAAGCAGTAATCACTTCCTGGAACAATCAATGAGCTGTCTTAGTCTCCTGTCTCTTCATTATTGCTAACAAGACCCCCCCTCCCCTGATCACCTAGTGATAACCTTGGATCATCTTTGTCCCCATGAAAGCTTCTTGGGCCAGAGGATCAGAGAACTGTGGCCCTGTTGGAGCATGCGGTCATCCAGTCCAGGCCCTGTTGTTTATGTGTGAAGCTTTGGACTCCCCCTGGATTTTCTTTGAAAGCCCCTTGTGACATTTATCACATGTTGCCTTGTATTCATCTTCCAGACCCTACTGAATGTTAACCTTTTTGAGTGCCAAGACTATTTCTGTTCATCTTTTTGTCCTCCACAATGGAAACTACATGCCTGGCATACAGTAATATGCAACAGTATGGGTTAATAAGTATATGAATTTGGCTGGGCGTAATCCTAGCACGTTGGGAGGCTGAGGCAGGAGGATCCCTTGAGCCCAGGAGTTCAAGACTGGCCTAGGCAATGTAGGGAGACCCTGTCTCTAAAAAGAAAAGAAAAGAAAAATAAATATATGAATCCATTTATTCACACATTGATTCTACAGTATCTTTGAAGCACTTACTCTGCCTGGCTGGGGAGAGGATTTATAGCCCAGTCAGGGAAAATAACATTAGTCAAACTATGAAATATAATTATATGTTGTGATAAAGGCTGAGGGAGAAGTCATGGGGCTGTCAGAACATTTAATATGGGGCCCTATCTAATCTGGTGGGTCATGGACAGCTTCCCTGAGGAGATGAGGTTTGAGATTAGACCCAAAGTACATGTAGGAGTTACCAGGAGCGGCAGGTTGGAAATGGAGGGCAGGAGTAGAAGGGAAGGGCATAACAGGCAGAGGCCAGTTTGTGCAAAGGCTCTGTGGCAGAAAGCATTGAGATACTTTCTGGACACCAAAAAGAAGGCTGATATGATGGAGCACAAGGAATAAGCCGGAGGTGCAGCCAGAGATGTCAGGAGACCCAAGCCTGTCTGAAGGATTTTGTCCTTTATCCCAAGAGTAATAAGATGAATTCACCTTTCATGTCACTGGCACCTTCCAGGCTGCCCACCTGTTGTTCTCTGGAATAGCTGGTGGATGTCCCTCAGTGGTCTGAGTTCCTCTGTGTCCAGTTCTGTTCCTGGCTGATCCATGAGCCTCATGTGATGGTTAGTTGGCCAGAGGCTGCTTGCCTGACTGTATCCTTTCTGGTTATTTTTTTGCTGTGATAAATTTAATCTCTCTAATTTCTATAGTAACAGAAAGGGTACCATTGTTATCCTAATTACTGGAAAAGTTGCCATCACAACCAGGCCTGTGCTGCTTATTCATCAGAGATTTATTGAATACTAAGTGTGAGCCAGGCCCTATTCCAGCAGGGAACAGAACAGCATCAGCCCTCCCCTCAGAGTCTACAGTCTATGGCAGAGTCAGATGTTAAACTAATAAACCACAAGTATATATTTGATCACAGATTGTGAAGAATAAATACCATGCAGGATAAACACAGAAATAACTGGGGTGCACCTAATTTAGAATGGGGGTGTCAGGTACGATGTCAGATGCTCATGAACCTTGTCCCATGGCATTGTCTTCCCAACAGCCAGCAGAGTGTTTGTTGCATGAATGAAGAAGGAATGCTTGGATGAGGGCTTGCCCTCTTTCTTGCTGTAGAAAGTGAGATTTGGTGCCCAAGATCACACAAGCTGGCAAGTGAAAGTGCTGGGGTTGGACCTGGGGTCCCCTGAGTAGCTTCTGTTTTGTATGCAGCTGGCCTGCTACTCCCTTGGCACCATCGGGGAAATTTCCACATTCACAGTGAATATTATTTCAGCCTCTGCTGTCCTCCTCTCTCCTCTTGACCGCTCACATGCTGCCTGTCACTGTGTGACTGTCTCAGAGCTGAATGAGTGTTACCAGTGGAAGGTGTCCAGGTTCTTGGCACCTCAAAGAGTTGGACAAAATGCACAAACAAAGCAAGGAAAGAATGAAGCAGCAAAAGGAGAGATTTATTGAAAATGAAAGTACACTCCACAGTGTGGGAGTGAGCTGGAGCATAGGGGCTCAAGGGCTCCTTTACAGAATTTTTTAGGGTTTAAATACCTTCTAGAAGTGTCCCGTTGGTTACTTGGTGTACACGCTATGTAAATGAAGTGGTGGCTCGCAATCAGTCTGATTGGTTGCTGAAGTGAAGTTACAAAGTTACACTTCTATGCAAACGTCTGTTTGGTTGTAAAAATCAAACCAATCAGAGACACTTTCAGTTTTCCATCTGCCTCACAGAAAAAGCGGAGAGTGGTTTGTGAAGGGAGTAACCTCCGGTCCTTTTGTTACTTAGGTGTGGAAAGTTGGGGTTTTCCTTTTGATTTAGTTCTAGGAAGTCAGCCTGAATTAGTCTTAGGTTCCCTGCCTCCAGACCCTGTTCTCCTGCCTCAAGAGGACTGCCTTTCATTTCTAGATCAAAGGAATCTTGGCTTGGCTTGGTTGTTCTTTGAGGCATGATTTTTACTCTCTTGAACACTTGTCATTTTCTTGATTCCTGATTATTTTCCTCTTTCCTGCGTTCAGTTCAGTTCAGCTAATACTGGACATGGCACTTTATCAGGTGCTTCTAAAAATGTAAGGAGGAACAACGTTTGAGCCCTGGCCTCCTGGAAGTTTTAATTTGTAAGGGGTGACAGATATACGCACAAGGAACTATATACAAGGTAGGATTCAGACTGCTGATGGGGCCTGATGGCTTTCTGGAAGAAGTAGCATTTGATGGTGACTTCAGATGATCTGGGATTTCAGTGGTGGCCCAGGAAGAGAATGCAAAAGAAACAACATGAGCAGGCTGAGCACGGTGGCTCACGCCTGTAATCCCAGCACTTCGGGAGGCCGAGGCGAGTGGATCATCTGAGGTTGGGAGTTCAAGACCAGCCTGACCAACATGGAGAAACCCCGTCTCCACTAAAAATACGAAATTAGCCTGGGGTGGTGGAGCGTGCCTGTAATCCCAGCTACTCGGGAGGCTGAGACAGGAGAATTGCTTGAACCCAGGAGGTGGAGGTTGCAGTGAGCCGAGATCGGGCCATTGCACTCCAGCTTGGGCAACAAGAGCGAAACTCCATCTCAAAAAAAAAAAAAAAAAAAGAAACAACATGAGCAAATATTTGCAGCAAATCAATAAATGGTCCTTTTAGACTGAAACTTGGTATAGCAGTTTAGGATTAGTGAGAGCTAGGACCAGAAAGCTAGGTTGGCTGCCACCTTGGAGTGAGAACCTCGAATGCCAAGGTGGGCAGCTTATGCTGGTGTAGTAGAGTTCCATTTTAGTAACACAGTCATCTCTTACAGAACTTTCCTCTCCAGAGGATGAGGTATCAGGTTGTTCAGCTTTGAGTGTGCCATCTAGGTGCTATCAGCTAGCACCTTCAGGCTCTAATCTGCTCCTGGTTGGTTTAATAACAGAAAAATCTGCCAACCTCAGGAGTTTTTTGTTTGTTTTTTTTAACCAAGAATAACTTTCTTCCATGAAACTGCCCCTAAGAGAAAGTGTTACATTGTTTTCTGAATCTATATGGATGAGAAACAATTGTCTGTTATAGGAATGAGCTTCAAACAGATGGAGGAAATTATTATTTTTCTGTTAGGCCTTGTGTCCCGAAACCGCCCTGAGGAGGAGGACCAGTATTGGCTGAGTATGGGCAGAACGTTCCACAAAGTGACGCTGAAGGATAAGATGATCACAGTGACGCGATACCTTCCCAAGTGAGTATTTGGATATTTAAAGTCTTCAGTTATTGTCCTGAATTATGGCCACATACTAAATTGTGTGTATAGTACATCATTCAAACTGAGGAAGTTCAGTGGTTGGTTTTTCTTTTGGAGTTTTGTTTGTTTGTTTCTAGGGTTATTTTAGGGTTATAGCTTACCTACTTCCAAAAGGGATTTGATTCATCTTATAATGTTTAGCATGATTCATGACAAGCCTATTTCAAATAAAGATTGTGAGGAGAGAAGAAGGAAAGAGTTTAAGAAGATCTGAGAAATTTCTAGTACCGTTCCCTGGGATAAGTTGGTTACTACAGTTGAGGGGTAAATGTCAAGGATGGTTCTAAGTGTATAGAGATAGAAAATAAGAATTGGCAGGAATTTGTCTCTAACTCTTTTGAATTTGGGGACCTGCCCTTTATTTTGCAGGTATCCTTATGAATCTGCCCAGATCCACTACACCTACAGCCTCTGTCCTTCCCACTCAGACTCAGAGTTCGTCTCCTGCTGGGTGGAATTCTCCCACGAACGGCTGGAGGAGTACAAGTGGAATTACTTAGATCAGTATATCTGTTCTGCCGGCTCTGAAGACTTCAGGTCAGAGAGTGGGCTTTGGATTTCCATCTTTGCATCCTTGGGCAAGGATGTGTATGTGTATTTTAACACTTTCTGCCCTTTCTCTCTCTCTCCCTTTTTCTTTTTTTTTTTCTTTGTAAAGAGACAGGGTTGACTGGGCGCGGTGGCTCATGCCTGTAATCCCAGCAATTTGGGAGGCCGAGGTTGGCAGATCACCTGAGGTCAGGAGTTCGAGACCAGCCTGGCCAGCATGGCAAAATCCTGTCTCTACTAAAAATACAAAAATTAGCTGGGTGTGGTGGTGCGTGCCTGTAATCCCAACTACTTGGGAGACTGAGGCTGGAGAATCGCTTGAACCCAGGAGGTGGAGGTTGCAGTGAGCCAAGATCAAGCCATTGCACTCCAGCCTGGGCAACAAGAGTGAAACTGTCTCAAAAAATAAATAAATAAAAAAAAATAAAATTAACTGGGCATGGTGACATACCCCTATAGTCCTAGCTACTCAGGAGGCCGAAGTGCTTGAGCCCAGGAGGTCGTGGCTACAGTGAGCCTTGATAGTGCCACTGCACCCTAGCCTGGGCAACACAGCAAGACCTTGTCTCAAAAAAATAAAATAGGTTAATGTGATAAATTTTTTGTTATGTGTATTTTGCCACAGTTGAAAAAACAAACCCCATGAAGCTCAGGGATGACGTGCCCTTGATGCAAGTGGCAGTGCAGATTGCCTTCTTAACGTTCTCTCCACTAGTTGGCTGGTAGCTTTGTGACGCCTGATTTTTAATTTTTGATTTCTATGCATGATTTGTGATTGTGATGATAGCCACAAATTCACTGGGCCTGGGTGTGCAGAAGCATTCTGATATCTCTGGAATCAAAGCAAAAACTGCCTTTGTGGTCTTCCTTCAGAGCTCTTTTTTTTTTTTTTTTTTTTTTTTTTGAGACAAGGTGGAGATGGGGTCTCGCCATGTTCCCCAAGCTGGTCTCAACTCCTGAGTTCAAGCAATCCTCCTGCCTCGGCCTCCCAAAGTGCTGGGATTATAGGTGTGAGCCACCATGCCCATTCTCAGAACTTGTATTTTCAACAAAGCCATGAGCTGTAGCATCAAATGAGCACATACTCATGGGGAGATGGACCTTCACACACCAACTCCACAGAGAGTTTACTGAGAGTGCTTTCATTATCTCCTTTCTCTCACCACCACCCTGTGTTTTCCTTGCCCCCTTAGCTTAATTGAGTCCCTGAAGTTCTGGAGGACCCGCTTCCTGCTGCTGCCAGCCTGTGTCACCGCCACCAAGCGCATCACGGAGGGGGAGGCCCACTGCGACATCTATGGGGACAGGCCCCGTGCAGACGAGGACGAGTGGCAACTCCTGGATGGTTTTGTCCGCTTTGTGGAGGGCTTGAATCGCATTCGCAGGCGGCATCGCTCGGATCGCATGATGCGGGTAAGGGCTCCTTAGACTCAGGGAGTGCGCCTGGTGTGAGATGCAGGGCCTGCCACCTCCTCTATTAGGGGCCTCTCATCATCAGCCTACTTATTTACTCCTCAGCTGCCCAGTGTTTACCTTAAATCCAAAACAGTGTTTTCTCCTCCACCGCGGGGTAAAGGAGGAAGGGATAGAGTGCAGGCAGTGACTGGGTGGTGTTCTGTGGCATAGAGCCATTCCCTTCCACCTGAGGACATGGTGCCTTGAGGTGCTCCCCAAGTGGGACCCTATGTTGAGCACAGCTGCTTGTGTGACTGGGTGCTGAACCTCTGAGTAGAAACTCTCAGGAGGTGAACAGCAGCAGTCCTTCCTCACTCTTCTTGCTCCAGAGTTCCCAGCACCCTGTGCCTTATTTCAGTCACACACCACCCAGTGCGGAGACTCAGGCTTCTGGGGGTTATGGAATATGCCAGCTATAAGGGGCAGAACTGGGATTCAGCATTTTTTTTAAACATATAGTATAATTGACGTGTGTGTGTGTGTGTGTATGTGTGTGTGTGTGTACACAGGTCTGTGAATTTTAACAAATATATAGATTCATGCAACCATCACCATCACTTCAAAAAAATTCTCTCATGCTAGTCTTTTTTTTTTTTTTCGAGACAAGGTCTCACTTTGTTGCCCAAGCAGGAGTGTGGTGGCATGATCATGGCTCACTGCAGCCTTGACCTCCCACCTTAGGCTTCCAAGTAGCTGGGACTAAAGGTGTGCATCATGTCCAGCTAATTTTTTGTATTTTTTGTAGAGATGGAGTTTCCCCATTTTGCCCAGGTTGTTTTCAAATTCCTGGACTAAAGTGCTGGGATTACAGGCATGAGCCACCATGCCTGGACTTATGCTAGTCTTGATAGTCATGTTCTCCCCCATCTCTAATCCCTGGCAACCACTGGTGTGTTCCTTATCACTGTACTTTTGTCTTTTCCAAACATCACAGAAAAGAGAATCACATAATATGTGACCTTTTGAGGCTGCCTTCTTTCACTTAGCATAATGCCTTCTGATTCATCCAAGTTGTGTGTGTAAGTAGTTCACTCTTTTTAATCACCAGGGAATGTTCCATCATCAGCCATGTTTTTTTTGTTTTTAACCTCAAGTTCAGTATTCTTCCTCTCACACCAGCTGCCTTATGTACACAACATCACTTACGATTAGAAACGTGTCTGGGAGAGCTTGGATAGTGGGAAGAACTTTGGTTTTGAAGTGAGGTCACTGGAGTTTGGATTCCAGCTCCAGTAGGATGTGGGATAAGTTCCTTAACCTCTCTGAGCTTCAGTTTCTTCTTCTGTAAAATAGGGCTAACATTATTTACATCATAGATCTGTGGTGAGGGTGAAATGAGGATGTGCAAATAAAGGGGCAGTTTATTTTTAGCTGACCAGGCATTTGAATGAAAGGCGGTTTTCTGTCACTTACTGAACACTGAGAACCTGTGTTCCTTGACCCTGTCCATGGGATTCCCGGGGCCTGGGAATGCTGCAGCATGCCCTGGGGCATGAGTGGCTTCCACTGAGAGCCCACTTGGCTGATGGCCTTGTCTCCTCTTCTCTGCTTTAGAAAGGGACCGCCATGAAAGGCTTGCAGATGACTGGGCCCATTTCCACGCATTCTCTGGAGTCAACTGCACCCCCAGTGGGGAAGAAGGGAACCTCAGCTCTCTCTGCCCTGTTGGAGATGGAGGCCAGTCAGAAGTAAGTGCTTGGTGGAAGACTGACTTGTCCCCACCTTGACAGCCCTGAGGGTTTTCAGTGCCCTGTTCCCTTGAGGGGGTGAAATATTTCCTTTACAAGGAGCTTGTAATTAGGGAGAAGGCATTTATGTGAAAAGGAAGGCTAATACCTGGTAGGTGTTGGATAACATGAAATAGGCCAGAAGTTATAAACTTTTAGATTGGGACTTAATTTTAATTACAGACTCATTTAATTTAGCCCACAAAGTATTTCAACATATTTGAGCCGGGGCCAGGTGTGGTGGCTCAGGCCTATAATCCCACCACTTTGGAAGGCCAAGGTGGGCAGATCACTTGAGGCCAGGAGTTTGAGACCAGCCTGGCCAACATGGCAAAACCCCATCTTTACTGGGGAAAAAAAAAAAAAAGCCAGGTATATTAGTCCATTCTCACACTGCTAATAAAGACATACCTGGGACTGAGTAATTTATGAAGGAAAGAAGTTTAATCAACTCACAGTTCTGCAGGGCTGGGGAGGCCTCAGGAAACTTACAATCATGGCAGAAAGGGAAGCAAACACATCCTTCTTCACATGGCAGCAGCAAAAAGTGCAGAGTGAAGGTAGGGGAAAAGCCCCTTATAAAACCATCACATCTCGTGAGAACTCACTATCATGAGAACAGCCTGGAGGTAACTGCCCCCATGATTAATTTACCTCCCACCTGGACCATCCCATGACACGTGGGGATTATGGGAACCATAACTCAAGATAAGATTTGGGTGGGGACACAGCCAAACCATATCATTTCACCCCTGGCCCCTCCCAGTTCTCATGTCCTTGCATTTCAAAACACAGTCATGCCTTCTCAACAGTCCCCCAAAGTCTTAATTCATTCCAGCATTAACTCAAGTCCAATGTCTCATCTGAGACAAGGCAAATCCCTTTTGCCTATGAGCTTGTAAAGTCAAAAGCAAGTTAGTTACTTCCTTGATACAATGGGGTATGGGCATTGAGTAAATACACCCATTCCAAATGGGAGAAATTGGCCAAAACAAAGGGGCTACAGGCCCCATGCAAGTCTGAAATCCAATAGGGCAACCATTAAACTTTAAAGTTCCAAAATGATCTCCTTTGATTCCAAGTCTCACATTCAGGGCATGCTGATACAAGAGGTAGGCTCCCAGGCCCTTGGGTAGCTCCAGCCCTGTGGCTCTGCAGGGTACCACCCCACTTCGGGCTGCTTTTACGGCCTGGTGTTGAGTGTCTGCCACTTTTCCAGATGCATGATGCAAGCCGTCGGTGGATCTGCCATTCTGGGGTCTGGTGGATGGTGGCCCTCTTCTCACAGCTCCACTAGGCAGTGCCCCAGTGGAGACTTTTTCCTTCCGCACTGCCCTAGCAGAGGTTCTCCATGAGGGCCCTGCCCCTGAAGCAAACTTCTGCCTCCCCTGAAATCTAGGCAGAGATTCCCAAACCTCAGTTCTTGACTTCTGTGTACCTGCAGGCTCAACACCACATAGAAGTTGCCAAGGCTTGGGGCTTACACCTTCTGAAGCCATGCCTGAGCTGTACATTGGCCCCTTTTAGCCATGGCTGGAGTGGTTGGGATGCAGTGCACGGAGTCCCTAGGCAGCACACAGCAGGAGGCCAGGCCCAGGAAACCAATTTTTCCTTCTAGGCCTCCAGCCCTGTAGTGGGAGGGGCTGCATGAAGGTCTCTGACATGCCCTGGAGACATTTTCCCCATTGTCTTGGTGATTAACATTAAGCTCCTCCTTACTTATGCAAATTTCTGCAGTAGGCTTGAATTTCCTCCCAGAAAATGGGTTTTTCTTTTCTGTCACATCATCAGGCTGCCAAGTTTCCAAACTTTTATGCTCTGCTTCCTCTTGAACACTTTGCCACTTAGAAATTTCTTCCGCCAGATACCCTAAATCATCTTCTCAAGTTCAGAGCTTCATAGATCTCTAGGGCAGGGGCAAAATGCCACCAGTCTCTTTGCATAGCAAGAGAGACCTTTACTCCAGTTCCCAACAAGTTGCCCATCTCCATCTGAGACCACTTCAGCCTAGACTTCATTGTTCATATCACTATCAGCATTTTGGTCAAAGCCATTCAACAAGTCTCTAGGAAGTGCCAAACTTTCCCACATCTTCCTGTCTTTTGAGCCCTCCAAGTCACTGGGAAGTTCCAAACTTTCCCACATTTTCCTGTCTTCTTCTGAGCACCCCCAGACTGTTCCAACCTTTGCCTGTTACCCAATTCCAAAGTCGCTTCCACATTTTCGGGTATCTTTACAGCAGTGCCTCACTCCCCAGTACAAATTTACTGTATTAGTCCATTCTTATGCTACTAATAAAGACATACCAGAGACTGGGTAATTTATAAAGGAAAGAGGTTTAATTGACTCACAGTTCAGCATGGCTGGGGAGGCCTCAGGAAACTTAAAATCATGGTGGAAGGGGAAGCAAACACGTGCTTCTTCACGTGGCAGCAGCAAGGAGAAGTGCAGAGTGGAGGGGAAGGGAAGCCCCTTGTAAAATCATCAGATCTTGGTGGGCATAGTGGCTCACACCTGTAATCCCAGCACTTTGGGAGGCCTAGGTGGGTGAATCACCTGAGACCAGGAGTTCAAGACCAGCCTAGCCAACATGGTGAAATCCCGTCTCTACTAATAATACAAAAATTAGCCGGGCATGGTGGCACACACCTGTAATCCCAGTGACTCAAGAGGCTGAGGCAGGAGTATTGCTGGAACCTGGGAGGCGGAGGTTGCAATGAGCTAAAATTGCACCACTGCACTCCAGCCTGGGTGACAGAGCAAGACTCCGTCTAAAAAAAAAAAATAAGTAAATAAAATAAAACCATCAGATCTCATGAGAACTCACTCACTATCACAAGAATAGCTTGGAGGAGACTGCCCCCATTATTCAGTTACCTCCCACTGGGTCCCTCCCAAGACACATGGGGATTACAGGAACTACAATTTGAGATGAGATTTGGGTAGGGACACAGCCAAACCGTATCACTGGGCATGGTGGCGCATGCCTGTAATCAAAGCTGCTTTGGAGGCTGAGGCACGAGAATAGCTTGAACTCAGGAGGCGGAGGTTGCAGTGAGCCGAGATTGTGCCACTAAACTCCAGCCTGGGTGATAGAGTGAGACTCTGTCTCAACAACAACAACAACAAAATTTGAGCCGGGTTTTAAATTTGAAGATTCCATATAAAAATCTGGATTGTATAGATTGTATATGAATTTTTATATTAAAAATATAATATACATTATATATATGACATGATACATGATGTTATATAATATGTAAAACAATATATTGTGGATAATATACTGTAGTACTCTCAATGCTCAATTTCAGTTACCCAAGGTCAACTGTGGTCCAAAAATAGACGAGTACAGTGCAATAAGATATTTTGAGAAAGAAAAAGAGTCCACATTCACGTAACTTTTCTTACAGTATATGGTATAATTGTTCATTTATTATTAGTTATTGTTGATAATCTATTACTGTGCCTAATTTATAAATGAAACTTTAGCATAAGTATGTATTTATAGGAAAAAAACATAGTACATACAGGGCTTGGTACTATCCTAGGTTTCAGACATCCACTGGGGATCTTGGAACATATACCCCTCAGATAAGTTAGGACTATTGTAATGCAAAGTTGGCCAGGTGCAGTGGCCCATGCCTATAATCCTAGCACTTTGAGAGGCCAAGTTGGGCAGATGGCTTGAGCTCAGGAGTTCGAGACCAGCCTGGGCAACATAGTGAGACCCTATCTCAAAAAAAAATTATAGTTAATATATAAAACCCAGTTTTGCTTGAGGCCGGGCGCAGTGGCTCATGCCTGTAATCCCAGCACTTTGGGAGGCTGAGGCGGGTGGAACACAAGGTCAAGAGATTGAGACCATCCTGGCCAACATGGCAAAACCTCATTTCTACTAAAAATACAAAAATTAGCTGGCATGGTGGCACGTACCTGTAGTCCCAGCTACGCGGGAGGCTGAGGCAGGAGAATTGCTTGAACCTGGGAGGCGGAGGTTGCAGTGAGCCGAGATTGCGCCACTGCACTCCAGCTTGGTTACAGAGCGAGACTCCGTCTCAAAAAAAAAAAAAAAAAAATCCAGTTTTACTGGATTTACACAGGGTCCACATCTGCACCCAGCCACAGTGAGCTGGCACTTCAGAAGGGGCATATGCCTTGGTTTCACACTCTGGTCTTAAACTTGTCTCACACACTCAGTCATGCTAGCTGGCTGGCTTTTCTAGGCCTTTGGGTATGTGGCCTCTTTATAAACAGTAAGTGTTAACAGTTGATAAGACACTGTTGGGACCACACTTGGTTGGGAAGGCAGGAAGAGTGTGGTGTCATGGGAGGTGGGATTCAAACTGGCATTGTAGGAAGCAAAGCGTTTACATGGGGGTGGGTGAGACTTGAGGAAGAGAAAACATTGCCTTGGGCTGCCTTCCCTGCCCCTCTCCACCTCACAGCTAGATCAGGTTCCTCCCTGTGCTTGCCAGCATCCTGGGCCTACGTCCATCAGAGCACTTACCAGTATTCTGCTGGGAGCCAGTTGTCAGTTGACTTCTCCCTGACTTGACTGTGTGCTCTGAGGCCAGAGGCTGTGTGCCATGCCTGGCACATAGTAGGTGTGTAATGGATATTTATTGAATGATGGGTTGGGGGATGCTGAGGGTCTCCCTGTAGAGATGTGAGGTGAGCATGTTAGGGGAGGCTAGACCTTGACTGTATGGTATGAGGGTCTGTCATGCCCGCAGGAACCTGCACACATTAGGCTTTCCAGAAGTAACATTGAACAAGCAAACGTGAGGTATGGTGGGGACATGGAATTGGAAAGACAGTGTGGGAATTTGGATGCTAGGCTGTCCTTACACATTCTCATGGCAAGAGGAATCCTTTGAAAGTTTTAAAAATTCTATTACAGGCCAGGCGTGGTGGCTCACGCCTGTAATCCCAGCACGTTGGGAGACTGAGAGGTCAGGGTTACTTGAGCCCAGGAGTTCAAGATCAGGGTAGGTAACATAGTGAGACCCCATCTCTACAAAAAATTAGCCTAGAGTGGTGGTGAATGCTGAGGTGGGAGGATTGCTTGAGCCTGGGAGGTTGAGGCTAGGCTGTAATTAGCCTCAGTTGCGCCACTGCATTCCAGTCTGGGCGACAGCAAGACCCTGTCTCAATAAAAAATGAAAATAAAAATTTTATTAGAAAATTTCAAAGGGATACGAATAATAGACTGGTATAATAAATTCCTGCTTACCCATCATCACGCGGCTTCAGTGAGAATCATCTCATGGCTGACCTTATTTCATTTCTATCCAACTTATGTTTTCCTTTTATTTATTTATTTATTACTATTTTTTTTTTTTTTTTTTGAGATGGAGTTTCGCTCTTGTTGCCTAGGCTGGAGTGCAATGGCACGATCTTGGCTCACCGCAGCCTCCATCTTCTGGGTTCAAGTGATTCTCCTGCCTCAGCCTCCCGAGAAGCTGGGATTACAGGCATGCGCCACCACCCCAGCTAATTTTGTATCTTTAGTAGAGATGGGTTTTCTCCGTGGTGGTCAGGCTGATCTTGAACTCCCGACCTCAGGTGTTCCACCTGCCTTGGCCTCCCAAAGTATTGGGATTATAGGCGTGAGCCACCGAGCCTGGCTTCTTTTATTTTTTTAAATCAAATTCCTGATGTCATTTCCCTTCATCTGTAATATTTCAGAATGTACCTCGGAAAGACAAGTACTCTTTTTTAAAAAAACAAAACCATGGTATTATAATTTACCTTTAAAATTACAACAATTCCTTAATATCATGAAATAGCCAGTTGGTGTCTTTGGCAGAAGTGGTTTTTTCGGAGATGAGCTCCCTGTGTGGGAAGGCTTGGTGGGCGGGGGCCAGGAGGCAGAGTCCTATCAGGAGGCTCCCGCTAGTCCAGGCAAGAGGCAGCTGAAGCTGGATGGAGGGTGATGATGAGATGAAAAGGAAGGGATGAAGAACACGGCAGGGTGCCTACGGTGAGGGGACAGATGAGAGAAAGATAACTGGGATAGGTTGGGTTTGTTACTGAGGGCACTGGGTCTTCTTTTGAACATATCTTTATCAGACCAAAGGAAGATGCCAGGACTCTGTGTGGCAATTTCTCCCTGCAACTAATCACAGACTTTTCCCACTGGAAAAGAGAACAAGGAACATATGTTGCTGGGAGGGGTGTCAAGCTGGGGGTGAGGTGAAGGGATCTTATTTTGTCAGTGAGTCATTGTTTAGTATGCACCAAGGAGCCTGTTTCTGCTCACACTGAAGAAGCATATCTTGGGGGTAGTGGTACCCCCAGTGTGAAGGGTGAGATTCTCAGCCAACCCCAAGGCAGGAGGCAGGACAAAGAGACCCAAGACTTCCTCCTTGCCACGGATGACTGCTCCCGGGAGACGTGCTACATTTTCTGAATAGAGGTAGAGTAGAGGGAACCAGACATTTATATAACATTTGTATAACATTTGCTTGCACAGAATTTTTTATTTATGTGTTTTTCTTTTTCTTTCACTGCCCCAGATTCCATTTTATTATGCAAAACAACATACAGCAGACAACATACAGCAGCATGAAAGCGCTTACAGAATTTCACCTGTAGTCCCACCATCTTAACTGTGTATATTTCTTCCAGTTTTCTTCCCATCTTTATCTGTAGGCATATACATTTAGTCGGGCTCTTGTGAAAGACAGAAACCCTGGAATCTTAGCTTTGTGCTGATTAATAGCAGTGGGACCAGTCTGGGCAGCAGGTGCTGGCCAGTGGGCTTTTCTGTTCCTATTAGATGAGGATGACAGCCAAGTCAGGGCAGAGAGAGAGAGACCCCACCAAAGCAGATGGACATTCATGTTCTGTCCAAGGTGGCTCTAGTATGTGCGTCTTACTCAGGCCTTTCTGGGGAAAGCCTGCCAGCAATGAGCCACAGTGTGCCATCTGCCTGCAGAGGCACGTGAAGGGCGTCTGCGTGCTTTTACCCTTCCTGCTTCTGTGTAGGCTGTGTCTTCCTCCTGCCCACCCTTTAAGGCCCACCCGGTGCATATGTGTCACTACCTCCATGGAGGTGTGGCTAGTGACCCCCTCCTGGCTGAACATACCTGAGCATGCCCTCATGTATGTTCTCATGTATGTTCTCATGTATACACATATGCATTGTACCTGGTGGTTTTGTGGCAGTCCCCTCTTCCTGAGCCATTAGAAGAAGAGCTTCTAAGGGCAAGGACAGGGTCAGTCTTCTTCTCAGAATCCCTGACTCCTAGTCAGTGCATCAGCATATAGCAGGTGACTCAGTACATGTGGACTGTCGTGTGCATCAGATGACAAATCCAAGTGGTCACTGGGGATGCAAGAATCTCACAGCATGCATTTGTGGATGAGGCTTGGAGGAAAACACACTGCATTGTGATAGAAAGAGAGACTGTGGTGTCAGTGGACAAGGAAAATAATCTAGCACCTAGTTTTTTGTCCTGTGAATTACACCTTAGAGCATCCAAGTAATTGGTGTGGGGAAGTTTCTCTTTTTAAAATATCCCAGCTAATAAATACAGAAGGAATGATGGACTGTCACTGTGTATAGTCTCTGATGAATGAATGGATCTAGCAAAGATTATCAGTGGCAGCTCACATCATAAGAGAGAGGCAGCCATTCTGGGCCTCCAGGCAGAAGTGCACGGTACCACTTAGGAAGAATAGTGGCCCAAAATTTGACCAAAATCTGCCCAAATCCCTTGATGTAACTTCTGCTTCTCAGGAAGTACAGGGCACAGAAGAACATGTTATATAATAAAGGGATGTAATCAGCACATCCAGACTGTGTAAGTTTACAGGGCTAAAGAGCTACTTTCTTTAACAAATAAATTGCAAGGATAAGGAGAGATGAAGAGGAGCTTATACCTTAAAAAGGACTTAAGAGATATAATGTATGACAATGTAAGGACTTAATTGAGTCTTGCTGGTTTTTTTTTTTTTTTTCTTTTTTTAAGACAGAGTCTTGTTGTGTCGCCCAGGCTGCAGTGCTGTGGCACAATCTCGGCTCACTGCAACCTCTGCCTCCCAGGTTCAAGCGATTCTCCTGCCTCAGCCTCCAGAGTAGCTGGGACTACAGACGTGCGCCACCACGCCTGGCTAATTTTTGTATTTTTAGTAGAGACAGAGTTTCACCATGTTGGCCAGGATGGTCTCAATCTTCTGACCTCGTGATCCACCCACCTTGGCCTCCCAAAGTCCTGGGATAACAGGTGTGAGCCACTGTGCCCAGCTAAAAAAATTTTTTTGAGACAATTGAGGAAATATTTGACATTAGAAAAATTGTTATCTTTTAGAGATACTGAAATGTTTAAGGATGAAACAATGTGTGAGTTTTGCTTCAAAATATTTCTTTTTTTTTTTTTTGCGACGGAGTCTCGCTCTGTCGCCCAGGCTGGAGTGCAGTGGCGCGATATCGGCTCATTGCAAGTGCCGCTTCCCAGGTTCACGCCATTCTCCTGCCTCA
This sequence comes from Homo sapiens, assembly GCF_000001405.40. NCBI lineage: Eukaryota > Metazoa > Chordata > Mammalia > Primates > Hominidae > Homo > Homo sapiens. The sequence continues at coordinate 31,855,495 of NC_000022.11, forward strand.
GCCTCCCAAGTAGTTGGGACTACAGGCGCCCGCCACAACGCCCGGCTAATTTTTTTTGTATTTTTAGTAGAGACGGGGTTTCACTGTGTTAGCCAGGATGGTCTCGATCTCTTGACCTCGTGATCCGCCTGCCTCGGCCTCCCAAAGTGCTGGGATTACAGGCGTGAGCCACTGCGCCTGGCCAACTTCAAAATATTTCATGTGGGTAGGCAGGGTGTATGGATGAAACCGGAATGGCTCTAATGATATAATTTTGGTAAGGGATATGTAGGGGTTCATTATATTGTCCTCTTTACTTTTGTATATGTTTGTATTTTTTCAGAATGTAAAAAAAAAAATTTAAGGGAGAGTGCAACAGGTTACTATGGAAACATATTTTTGCATCCCTGGTATGTGATTACTTCTCATTGAGTAACAAAAGTGTCAGAATTTAAGATAAGAAAAGTGTTGCAAATTGGGTTCTCAGGGAAGCGGACTGAGATGGGGTGTAGCATATAGGATGCTTATTAAGGAGAGCCCTTGGGCACAACACCTGTGGGAGAGATGGGGAAGAAACCGGAGTGGGTGCCAAGAGAAGCTGGACTACAGCCCAGACCCAGTGACAGCCTCAGGAGATCCCACTGGAACAGCCCTCAGAGATGTGCTGAGTTGGGCCAACGCGCACACACACACACACACACACACACACACACACACTTCATTGCCTATGACACACACACACACACTTCATTGCCTATGACACACACACACACACACACACTTCATTGCCTATGGCAGCCCATGCAGCTGGGGCTGTCCCTGAAGGGGCCAACAACTGAGACAGAGCCTCCTAGACAGCCCTCTCAGTGCTGGGACAACAACAAGGCCATGGTGGAGGGGGCTGGGACCTGCCTCGCACTGTCCATCACAAGAAGTAATATATATTATAGTAATAATGAAGCACTTAAGACTTCAGTGTGAGCCTTCTGAAACCTAACAATAAAACAGTGATATATTAAAGCAACATAATTTAATCTAAAATAAAGTGTAGTTAATTTTAGAACAGAAAAAAATTAGGAAAATAAACATGAAAATATTCATTCATGTACATCAGAACCGAGATGGGGTGAGATGTCGTAAGGATACTGTATTTGTCTTGCGTTATGAGATAATGTCTGTTAGTTTGGTTTGGAGGGTGATGTAGCTATGTACATTTGAAAGATTAACCTATAAATCCCTTCAAAATGTATAGAGAATTAACACATCTTCTCCTGTTTTATGCTGCATGTTAATGCAGTTTTTTGTTTGTTTGTTTGTTTGTTTGTTTGTTTTGTCGCACAGGCTGGAGTGCAGTGGCACCATCTCAGCTCACTGCGACCTCTGCCTCCTGAGTTCAAGTGATTCTCGTGCCTTAGCCTCCCGAGTAGCTGCGACTGTAGGCGTGCACTGCCACACCGGGCTAATTTTTTGTATTTTTAGTAGAGATGGGGTTTCACCATGTTGACCAGGCTGGTCTCAAACCCCTGACCTCAGATGATCCACCCACCTTGGCTTACCAAAGTGCGGGGTTTACAGGCATGAGCCACCACACAGTCTTAACATTCAGAATGTGCTTTTGCTGGTATATTAAATAAAAATTGAGAAAAAAGTACTTTTACAAGAATTTTAAAAATGGTGTTCACAGACAGTCACTCAAACCATGTCAGTCCCCTTTTTAAGGTCATATATAAGCACCAGATGCTGCCAGAATGCTTTTAAAGTTGGGCTATTTTCTGATTTACTGTGGAGGACTGGTGATTGTTCAGCACAATGAATGAAATTAAGGGTATCATGAAGGTCTGGAAAGGGAAACAAGGCAGAAGTGTGTGTTTCAAAGATGACAGCAACAGAGCTGTCTGCATCTTGGCCGACATGGATCCTTCACCAGGGAGCTCTGAGCAAGCTGCTGTCATGTGCTTTTCCTCCTTTCAGGTGCCTGGGAGAACAGCAGGCAGCTGTGCATGGTGGGAAGAGCTCCGCCCAGTCAGCCGAGAGCAGCAGCGTTGCCATGACTCCCACCTACATGGACAGCCCACGAAAGGTAAAGGAAGCCGCGGTAGCAGGGAGCTGTTCTGTGCTCTCAGAGACTCAGTGTGGAGGGTAAAACAGATCGCCCTTCAGATCCGGGATTGCATGTGCAGAGGCTTTGGATGAATTCTACCCTGAACCCTTTAAAGGTTCTATTACTGTTACTACTTTTATATAGGGACTTTCTTATTCACAGTTGTAAGGAAGCTAACTTCTAGTTAAATCCGGATATAAAACGGTCAGTCATGCTTGTAATCCCAGCACTTTGGGAGGCCGAGGCTGGAGGATCACTTGAGCCCAGGAGTTTGAGACCAGCATACGCAACATAAGGAGACACCATTTCTTAAAAAAATTAAAAATAAAATTAGCTAGATGTGGTGGTGTGTACCTGTAGTCTCAGCTACTCAGAAGGCTGAGGTGAGGGGATCCCTAGAGCCCAGGAGGTTGAGGTTGAAGTGAGCCATGATCACACGACTGCGCTCCAGCCTTGGGTGACGCAGTGAGACCCTGCCTCAAAAAAATAAAATACAACAGTTAAGCTAAACCTCTTTGGTTCAATGCCCAAGATCTGGCCTGAGCTTTGTATTTGGCCGTCTGGTTTTCCTTCACCCTCATCTTTAGCTTTCCCAGAGGGGAATAGAAAGCTACTGAAGTAGCTTCCACCAGAGCTCGCTCTTCTTTGATAATGAAATTCCCATCAGTTTTCTCAGACTGCTGAGAAATACAGTCAAATGGGAGTATCCTGGGGTGGGGGGAAAATACAGAAAACCTGAGACTTTAGGCCTCTATCAGGAACAAGTACAATAAAGAAGCCAAAAACTCCATGGGTCTTTTAAGACCAATAGACTTGGCTCTGTCAGCTCCTTCTGGGAAATTCAGATTCAGATCATTCTGTTGTGATAGGACAAGCTGACTGTACTTACCTCTCTCTTGTCCCTATCACTGGGAGATGAAGGAGATTCAATACATATATGTTATTTTTCAAAATTGTGGTCAAATGGTATATCTGTGTTTATTTTACCTCCATATCATGAAAATTTCTCATGTCATTAAATGTTTTACAAAAGCATGATTTTTAAAAATAATTATATACTTTTTTCTTTCGTTTTTTTTCCCCTAAGCAACCCCAAAGAAAAAAATAGCTATATATCATTTTATCATATGAATATGCCTTAATTTATAACTTCTTTTGGTTAAAATTGTAGATGGTGATTTTTAAATGATTTTTGGTATTTTTCTATAAACTTTAAGAATTATTCTACAGTATACCACAGTTATAATGTTGCAGTGAATATGCTTGGAATAATCATTTGACCACACCACTGATAATTCCTTAGCATAAATACTGTAATTACACTACATGGGTAGAGGGATAAAAATCTGAGAAGAAGTATCAGCCAAGGCTGTGGGCAACTTGTAAACCAAACGTTGGCAAACCTAAATACATATTTTAGACTTTGTGGCCAAGAGGCAAAGCAAAGCTATTGTGTAAGTATAGTATTTCCATAACTATTTAAAGTTGTAAAAACCATTCCTTTGTTTTTTTTTTTTTTTTTTTTTTTTTTTTTGAGACGGAGTCTCACTCTGTTGCCCAGGCTGGAGTGCAGTGGCGCGATCTCGGCTCACTGCAAGCTTTGCCTCCTGGGTTCACGCCATTCTCCTGCCTCAGCCTCCCAAGTAGCTGGGACTACAGGCGCCCGCCACCACGCCCAGCTAATTTTTTGTATTTTTTAGTAGAAACAAGGTTTCACTGTGTTAGCCAGGATGGTCTTGATCTCCTGACCTCGTGATCCGCCTGCCTCTGTCTCCCAAAGTGTTGGGATTACAGGCGTGAGCCACTGCGCCCGGCTTTTTTTTTTTTTTTTGAGACAGTCTTGCTCTGTCACCCAGGCTGAAGTGCAGTGGCACAGTCTTGGCTCACTGCAACTGCAACCTCAGCCTCCCGGGTTCAAGCAATTCTCCTGCCTCAGCCTCCCCAGTAGCTGGGATTACAGGCGTGCACCACCATGGCCAGCTAATTTTTTTTATTTTTAGTAGAGACAGGGTTTCACCGTGTTGGCCAGGTTGGTCCCAAACTCCTGACCTCAAGTGATCCACCCACCTCAGCCTCCCAAAGTGCTGGGATTACAGGCGTGAGCCACCATGCGCAGCCGTAAAAACCATTCTTAGCTCACTGGCTGTAAAAAAATCAGAGGGCTGGCCAGATTTGGCCTGCAAGCTGTAGTTTACCAACTGCTGCTCTAGGGAGTGGCATTAGGTACCAAGGACAGTCTGTGTGTAAGGAATGATCTGCTGACCATGAGTCTTTTCACCTGAACTCCTTCACATGTACATAAACCTCAACACCATCAGCACCTCTGCTTCTATATGTTCTGGCAGTTAGAAGGGACACAGTGGAACAATGAGATAAAATTACCCTGTGTGCTGTCCACCAGGTTTTGCCTCTACTCATTGCCATCTTTGAGGGTCAGAAACAGTGCTGAGGACATGACTGAAAAGCAGAGAAATTATAGTCGCAAATATATTAGATTGCTGTTTAGAACCCTCTCCTGATTGTCCAGGTGAACGCTAAAATCCACATGCATGACCCATCAGTAGGGCTGGAAGTAAACTCCTGAATAGTCAGGGGAAACAAAATGCTATGAGATGGCCAAAGCAGAGAGCCCTGCTGACATGCTCAGAAATGCCCAACTGTTTCCCCAAGGAACACTTCATGTTAGAATGCGTTGGGGGTACCTGCATCAGCATCTCCGCAGCCACAAGTTTCCAAGGTTTCGTATTGGAGTTTGCAGTCACTTACGGGAAGTGGCAGCAGTATCAATAAAATGGGCACCCAAATATTTCAGTTATTCTACCTTTGGAATTGAGGAAAAGTTCCAGAAAAGCAGAGAACTTGAGATGTGTCAAGTGCCATTCCTGAATTTCTATGATAACCAGACATAAAAAGTAAAAAGATTCCGAAAGGAAAGAGGGTACTACTTAAGAATGATGGAAGGAGGGGTCATTGAAAAAGTCCTCCGTGTCATTTTTGTTTCACAGACATGGCTGCTTGAATTCCACAAGGGTAGGGTAGGGAGGGAATGACAGCTTTAGAAAGCCCCTCACAATGTGAGTGCTTGTGTATCTGACATTATATATGTCTTAGCTTGCTGATGATTTTGTTACACAACCAGTGGAGGAGAAGGTATGGCTGCTTCTGTATCCCCTGTTTGCTAAAAAAAAACTAAGCAAGAACTTACCCTGCCTTGAATCCTCTCCTCCCATCTGGCTGCCCATGTTTAGTAACAGGCAGAAAAAACCTCCTGGCTCAATGTATCTCTCCAAGAGGGCGACTGGTCACCCAGCCAGGTGGGAGGCCAGGATGTTGCCACCAAAGCCCTTACCCTGCAGCCCCACCAAGCTGCTCTGCGGCCTTTTCATCTTCCTTGGCATAGGTCTGAAGGAATTTCAGAGCTATGTGGGAGGGTGAGAGCATCCAAGCCACACTCTGATGAGACCTGAGAGAGCTTGGACACACCTTCCAACCTGGGTGCTTTCTCCCACACAGATGGGATATTCTGCCCAGGAAGGTGTGAGTTTCTGCTAATGCTTCGCATTTGGATATTGTCTTTCTGGGTGGCGCTCTCTCTCTCTCTCTCTTTTTTTTTTTTTTTAATTTTCCCTATCCTCTTCATATGTCCTTGTTTCTCTCCTTCCCTCCTTGTTTTTATTTTTATTTTTTGTTTTTTATACCTGTCTCCTTCCCCTGATGGTTAACCACTGGTACACATTCCGTTTCTTCGCTTCCTTGCAACTGCTGCTGCTGCTTCCTCCTCCTGTGACTTCAGGACGGGGCCTTCTTTATGGAGTTTGTCCGCAGCCCACGCACAGCATCGTCCGCCTTCTACCCTCAGGTTAGTCCAACTCCAGGGCTTCGCATGCCTGTCCCACTGGCAGACGCCATGAGCTGGCCTTCTGTTAGGCTCTGAACACATGGAATTGGGCTGCAACTAAGTTTGGGGGGCAGTTGAACTTGAATTTGGTCTCAGAATTGTACATTCTCTTCCATGTTGTTTGTGGCGGCGAAGGGGGGGATGGAAGAGGTTAATGTAGAAGAACATATGATTGTACCAGTGATGACTCAAGTGTTTCTCATCACTGTCTGTTTCACATAGTTGTCACTGATTCTCTGCCACTTTGCAGCATCTTCACTTTTAGGTTTTATGAGCAACATGAAATATGCTTAGTTAAGGGCTGAACACTTATTTTTTTCCCCTCCCAATACAACCAGATAAATTTATAACAGTGTGGCAGGAAGTGGTGAAAAAACACAGCAAATATTTATTCATAGGCATGTGCTAATGCATAGGCCAAAGGTGTAGCTCACCTAGCTTCTGGATTTCACTTAAATTATTTGTCAGTTAAAAGATTTGGATGAGCCGGGTGCGGTGGCTCACGCCTGTAATCCCAGCACTTTGGGAGGCCGAGGCGGGCAGATCACCTGAGGTCAGGAGTTCAGTTTGAGACCAGCCTCAACATGGAGAAACCCCATCTCTACTAAAAATACAAAAAATTAGCTGGGCGTGGTGGTGCATGCCTGTAATCCCAGCTACTCGGGAGGCTGAGGCAGGAGAATTGCTTGAACCTGGGAGGTGGAGGTTGCAGTGAGCCGAGATCGTGCCATTGCACTCCAGCCTGGGCAACAAGAGCGAAACTCCATCTCAATAAATAAATAAATAAATAAAAATAAAAGATTTGGACGAGGCCAGGCACAGTGGCTCACGCCTGTAATCCTAGCACTTTGGGAGGCCAAGACAGGAGGATCACTTGAGGTCAGGAGTTTGAGACCAGCTGGGCCAACATGGCAAAACCCCATCTCTACTAAAATTGCAAAAAGTAGTCGGGCATGGTGGCACATGCTGGTAATCCCAGCTACTCAGGAGGCTGAGGCAGGAGAATCGCTTGAACCCAGGAGGCAGAGGTTGCAGTGAGCCAAAATTGCACCACTGCACTCCAGCCTGGCGACAGAGCCAGAGTCCATCTCAAAAAAAATAATAATAACAAAATAGAATTTTTTAAAATGAGAAAAGAAAAAGTTGTTAGCTGGTTAGTGGGCATATAGCTAGTGAGTGACTGAGCTCTTATATCATTCTGCCCACTGCACTGGGAGGGTAAGGGTTTAGTTAACATTGGAACAGGTCAGAGGTACCATGCCTTTCTGTGTAGGTCTTCGGATATCCCCACCTGCCTCTTCCCAGTGAGCTGTGTAACCATAGGCAAATCCCTGTAAGGACCTTTGAGTCCTAATCTAAGCATCTCTAAAATCTGAGTGTGGGTAGCACACTGTGTTTTTGGTTTAAAACAAACATTGGTTGATCCTTTTCACCTTTTACTTTCTTTTTTTTAGAGGTAGTATCTTACTCGGTTGTCCAGGCTGGAGTCCAGCCTCAGCGTCCCAAGTAGCTGGGAGTATAGGTATGAACCACCATACACAGCTAATTTTTTATTTTTTTAGAGGTAGGGTCTTGCTATGTTGCCCAGGCTGGTCAACTCCTGGTGTCAAGTGATTCTCCTGCCTTGGCCTCCCAAAGCACTGGGATTACAGGCATGAGCCACTGTGTCTGGCCATTAACCTTTTACTTTGTGGTTTTTTGTTTTTGTGTTGAGACAGAGTTTCACTCTAGCTGCCCAGGCTGGAGTGCAGTGGTTCAATGTCAGCTCACTGCCACCTCCACCTCGAAGGTTCAAGCATTTCTCTTGCCTCAGCCTCCCCAGTAGCTAGGATTACAGGTGTGCACCACAACGCCCGGCTAACTTTTGTATTATTAGTAGAGAAGGGGTTTCGCCATGTTGGCCAGGCTGGTCTTGAACTCCTGACCTCAGGTGATACGCCCACCTTGGCCTCTGAAAGTGCTAGGATTACAGGCGTGAGCCATTGTGCCTGGCCACCTTTTACATTCTTATAGGAGACTGTTATGGAAAGTTTTAGACTCAGGAGAGGCACACAAATAAGGATTATATTACCCACCAGGTGTTTTGTTGAAAAGGCAGGAAGTGAGGTGGGAAGATCACTTGAGCCCAGGAGAATAAGACCAGCCTGGACAATATCGTAAAACCCTGTCTGTAATTTTTTAAAAATATATACATAAAAAAATTATATTAGGAGGCCAAGGCAGACAGATCACTTGAGGTCAGGAGTTCGAGACCAACCTGGTCAATATGGTGAAACCCCATCTCTAATAAAAATACAAAAATTAGACCGGGCTCGTGGCGTGCGCCTGTAGTCCCAGTTACTTGAGAGGGTGAGGGAGGAGAATTGCTTGAACCTAGGAAGCAGAGGTTGCAGTGAGCCGAGATTGTGCCACTGCACTCCAGCCTGGGCAACAGAGTGAGACTCCATCTGAAAAAAAACAAAAAAAAATTATATCAGAAGTAGTAAGAGCTCATTATACATACACAAAATTAAATTGTACCTTATGTTTATTTATTATTTACTGTGGTAAAATACACAACATAAAACTTGCTTTGTGTATTTTCTGATGTGCAGCATAGAATGGAGGAGGGAGGCCAATGGAGTCAGTTGGATGCTTTCTTTTTTTTTTTTTTGAGATGGAATTTCATTCTTGTTGCCCAGGCTGGAGTACAATGGCGCAGTCTCTGCTCACTGCAACCTCTGCCTCCCGGGTTCAAGTGATTGTCCTGCCCCAGCCTCCCTAGTAGTTGGGATTACAGGCATGCACCACCATGCCCGGCTAATTTTTTGTATTTTTAGTAGAAATGGGGTTTCACCATGTTAGGCTGCTCTCGAACTCCTAACCTCAGGTGATCCACCTGCCTCAGCCTCCCAAAGTGCTGGGATTACAGGCAGGAGCCACCACCACACCTGGCCCAGATGGCTGCTTTCAAATCTTGACCTCTGTGCAATGTTAGGGAGCTGTGTTAGGCACATGAATTAACCTTCTGAACCTGTTTCTTCATTAAAATATATATATATATATATATATATTTATATATTTATTTATTTACTGTGTGTATTTCTTCATTTGTAAAAGGAAATAAAAAATAATTTCTTTGTAGGGTTGTTCTGAGGATTAGAAATAATATCCATTTCTCAGTCATGCGTGGTGGCTCAAGCCTATAATCCCAGCACTTTGGGAGGCCAAAGTACTGGGATCTCACTTTTTTTTGAGATGGAGTCTTGCTCTGTTGCCCAGGCTCAAATGCAGTGGTGCGATCTCAGCCCACTGTAACCTCCGCCTCCTGGGTTCAAGTGATTCTTCTGCCTCAGCCTCCCAGGTAGCTAGGACTACAGGCATCTGCCACCACAGCCAGATATTTTTTTTGTATTTTTAGTAGAGATGGGGTTTCACCATGCTGGCCAGGCTGGTCTCCAACTCCTGACCTCAAGTGATCCACCCGCCTTGGCCTCCCAAAGTGCTGGGATTACAGAAGTGAGCCATCGCGCTTGGCCTAATTTTGTAGTTTTAGTAGAGACGGGGTTTTGCTATGTTGGCCACGCTGGTCTCGAACTCCTGACCTCAGGTGATCTACCCGCCTCGGCCTCCCAAAGTGCTGGGATTACAGGCGTAAGCCACCGCACCCAGCCGTATTTTTTTTATCTTATTGTATGTCTGTTTATTAGTAGCCTCACCTTTTTTGGAATGATGTAAGATGTAAAAATATAAGTAACGCCAGGCGCAGCAGCCCACGCATGTAATCCCAGCACTTTGAGAGGTGGAGGCAGGAAGATCCCTATTAGTCCAGGAGTTTGAAATCAGCCTGGGCAACACAGTGAGACCTTGTCTTTACAAAAAATAAAAATAAATTAGCTGGGTGTCGTGGTGCATGCCTGCGGTCTCAGTTATTTGAGAGACTGAAGAGGGAGGAGTGCTTGAGTCTGGGAGGTTGAGGTGGGGACAGTGACCATGATTGTGCTACTGCACTCCAGCCCGGGCGACAGAGCAAGACCTGTCTCAAAACAAAACAAAACAAAACAAAACAAAACATATATATATAACCATTTGGAGCGAGGGGTTAGGATGGACACATAGAGGAAGGAGGCTGCCTCTGTGACAAAATTCATATCAATTGAGATAGCAAATTCCAAGCACCTGCTGGGTGTAGGGCTGTGCCAAGTGTTGTGGGAAATAACAGGGATGAATAAAATCCTTTATGAATATTAATGCCTGTCTTTGCTCACCGCTAGATGGCAAGCTTCATGAGGGCAGAGAGAAGGTTTTAATTTGGGATAATATTCCCCTTCCCTAATCTTAACCTTGGAGAACATCTGAGCTGTGGGTCTGCAAGTTATTCCCAAGCTTTCCCTCTCTGCAAGGCATATGGGATTCTGTTGTGGATCCCTTTGCAATGCCTCTGTCTGCGTGGCAGGAGCTGAGTGACTGGAAAGCAGGAGCCCACTTAGCCCATTTGTCTCCGGGTAAGACAAAGGGGAGTGTCATCTCTACCAGCCTCCAGGCACAGTGGAGAGCTGGGCTGGCAGATCCAGCTGTTTCCTTGTAGCTGATGACCCACCAGCATGAGAAAGTGGGGCTGTGACAAGCCCACGAGGTGGAAGGTAGAAGACCCATGGGGGATGCCTGTGGTGGGTGGTGCTAATCTCAGAGGCATCTCTAACAGGGTTCCCTCCCTTACTTTCTCCTGTAGCTTGGGAGTGCCAGAAAGTGGGGGGAAATTGGGGATTGGTGCTGCTGCTGAGAGGTTTGGTTTTTTTTTAATCAAACGCCAGACTTGGATTTTGCCATTTTTTTCAATTAATGTCTTCTTTCTATTCTAGGATCCAATCTTGGGTACCACATTGCCTGGCTTCCCAGTCTCTTCTAATCTGTGACTGTTTCTCAGGCTTTCCTTACATTTTTCTTTCTTTTTTGAGACAGTCTCGCTCTGTCGCCAGGCTGGAATGCAGTGGCGTGATCTCAGCTCACTGCAACCTCCGCCTCCCGAGTTCAAGCGATTCTCCTGCCTCAGCCTCCCAAGTAGCTGGGATTACAGGCACACGCTGCCATGCCCAGCTAATCTTTGTATTTTTAGTAGAGACAGGGTTTCACCATGTTGGCCAGGATGGTCTCCATCTCCTGACCTTGTGATCCGCCCACCTCGGCCTCCCAAAGTGCTGCGATTACAGGTGTGAGCCACCGCGCCCAGCCCTTTCCTTACTTTTTAAAATGACCTTCACAGCCTTGAGGAGTCCTGGCCAGGTGTCCTGTAGAATGTCCCCAAATCTGGGTTTGTCCGAGGTTTTTTTTCATGGTTAGACTGGAGTTACAGATACTCAAAAAGAATACCCCAGAGGGGAAGTGCCCTTCTCATCACATCACATCAGTAGGTACCTGAGATCCACACAACATCACTGGCGACGATAATCTTCATCACTCCTTCATCACTTGGTTAATGTCATATTTGTTAGCCATCTCTACTATGAAGTTACTATGTTTTCCTTTTTTATACTCCATTTATTGGAGGCACATCACTAAGTCTAGCCCACTCTAAAGCGGAGGGGGGAGTATCTACATATGTTCAGTGGAGTCCTTTTTTCGGACAAGGTTCATAAGATTCTTAAGATGAAAGGCATCTCCCTTTACTTGGCTCTTTGCCAGGAATCTACGTGCGACATCTGCCATTCTCTCCATCCTACCTGCTATTTATCTTTGTTCACCACTGATCTTATTCCAAAAAGTTATTTCATGTGGATCATGGAAGTAAATGCAACCCCTAAAATAAAAACATGACTAGATGGGGGAAATTCAGGTAAAGAAAAAAAATAAGACAGGATGTAATATAAGGCCTTGTAAAGTAGATAGAATTTTGTGCCAAATTCAGCTCTGAACCTCCTGGTAGCCAAAGAAAAGTGGGAAACCTCTGTTCCAAGACTCATAGTGGTTATAAAATAAAGACAACCAGATTCCTTGGGAGAAGCATACCTTTTCCTGGTATTAGGATCTAAACAAAATGCCTTTTCTGTGCAGCCTCTTAAAAGATACACATTGTGTGATACATAGATAGAGCAGAGGTCAGGAAACTATAGGGCAGATCTGGTCTACCATCTGCTTTTGTAAATGAAGTTTTATTGTAATAGAGCCACACCCATTCATTTACATATTGCCTGTGGCTGCTTTCTCACTTTCTTACTCAAAGTTGAGTAGTTGTGACAGAGACCCTATGGCCCACAAAGCCTGAAATATTTACTCTCTGGTCTCTTGCAAAAAATGTTTCCCAATTCCTGATCCAGAGGACAACTCTTTAACCACCCCCTACCCCGGCTCCCACCAAAATAGGACTGCAGGACTAATGTGCATTTCTGGTAATGGCCTTCACGTTAGGCTGGTAGAGCAATTCTTGTTATAGTACATGAGAGAACCCCACTACAGGGGCCCAGAAGGCAATGCCTAAGAGCCACTCTTATATGCATAAGAGCTGGTTCTAGTCCCCTTTAGTTAGCTTATTCTCATTTAAATTTACGGCATGGTCTCATTTAAATTTACAGCATGGTAAACCTTACTGGTTAGAGGCAGGTGGTAATTGGTAATTGCAAGCTGTCTCTTGCTGCATTTCTCTGTGTGTTTATGGTGCCAGCAAAACCTGTGTGGTCCTTTTTATTATTATTGTTATTTTTTTAACAAATCATTGAGCCTGCTATAGAACAGCAAAATGGTTCTATGAGAACCAGGAGGAACTTTACCCCCCAAGGGACATTTGGTAATATCTGGAGACATTTTTATTTGTCATAATTGGGGGTTGGGGCTGATAGTATTACTGGCATCAAGTGGGTAGAAGCCAGGGATGCTTCTGAACATCCAGCAATGCACAGGACAGCCCCCCACAGCAAACAGTTATCTGACCCCAGAGGGCAATACTGCTGAGACTGAGAAGCCTTGTTTTATTTTCTTCATTTTATTTATTTATTTTTTTGAGACAGGGTCTCTCTCTGTCGCCCAGGCTGGAGTGCAGTGGCAGGATCCCAGCTCACAGCAACCTCCGCTTCCCGGGTGAAGCAGTCTTCTCACTTCACTCTCCCAAGTAGCTGGGACTACAGGCGTGTGCCACCACGCCTGGCTAATTTTTGCATTTTTTGTAGAAATGGGGTTTCACCGTGTTGCCTAGGGTGGCCTCGAACTCCTGGACTCAAGTGATCCACTCGCCTTCGCCTCCCAAAGTGCCAAGATTACAGGCGTGAGCCACCGCACCCAGCTGAGAAGCTTTGTTTTAGAAAGCAATTTTTGCTAACAAAATATCTGATAGAAAGATCCCTTCTGGAAGTACCTAAAAACCTCAAGTTAGGAGGTTCTAAGAGCCTTACACTTTTCCAGAATTGCTCTAAAAGACTTAGTCATTCTCTTCATATACTTGCTCTGGGTATAATCTTTGATGCATGCTGCTGGGCTTCCGGGTGAACAGGTTATAATCCTGCCTCCAGGACCCTTAAAGGTGATATAACAACATTACAGGCTGTAATCCCAGCACTTTGGGAGGCTGAGGCGGAAGGATCAGTTGAACCCAGGAGTTTGAGATCAGCCGAGGCAACATAGCTAGACTCTGTCTCTACACACAAAAAAAAGTCAGGTATGGTGGCGCATGCCTGTAGTCCCAGTTACTTGGAAGGCTGAGACAGGAGGATTGCTTGAGCCCAAGAGTTTGAGGTTACAGTGAGATGTGATGGCACCATTGCACTCCAGCCTGAGCAAAAGAGGGCAACCCTGTCTCTGGAAAAAAAAAAAAAAAGATGCAGCACCATTACATGAGGCACAGCTTGGCAGCTACCAGAAGCTCATAGAGGTCCAGAGTAGAGAGGGAGATGGATCTCCTTGAGGCCTCGGGCGGACTGAATCGGAACAGTTTGCTAAGGGAGCAGCGTTTAAAATGGCCCTAAAGACTGATGGGATTAGCCAGGTGTGGTGGCTCCCACCTGTAATCCCTGCTACTTGAGAGTCTGAGGCAGGAGAATCGCTTGAACCCAGGAGGCAGAGGTTGCAGTGAGCCGAGATTGCGCCACTGCACTCCAGCCTCGGTGACAGAGCAAGAGTCTGTCTTTAAAAAAAAAAAAAAAAAAAAAGACTGATAGGTTTTTAGCCACTAGTTGTGGAGAAGAGCACCCCAGGGCGATATGGGGCACATAGACAGGATTTATACACACACGGTGTCATTTGGCTGGACACATACACATGGGTGAATGGTAGGCAGTGTGGTGAGATCTCAGGTCAAGCCAATGTTGTGCAGGACCCGTGATGTCCTGTGAGTCGGTTTTCAGTGTGGTGGTTCATGGGGAGACTTGAAAGTTTTCAGAGTAACAGAATGATGGGATTGGAACTGTTCTTGACAGACGATGCAAATGGAGCTGGCTCACAGGGAGGGTTTTTGAGGGAGAGGCTGCAATCAGGGGCTATTTAGAAGAATGTTACAGCCCTCCCTGGCCAGAGGAAGTACAGGCATGATTTAGAGATGCATGTGAATCTGCAGAGGGCAGGCCGTGGGACTAGGCCTGTCTTTAGATGCAAAGCTGGAGAAGAGAGCTATCAGATGGCTCTGAGAGTTGAACCTGAGCAAACTGAAAGGTAGAAGAAAGGAGGTTTTGGGTGGGAAAGGGTGAGTCACGGTAGGCAGAAGATGTACATTGTGATGTTCACCTATTTGTCTCTAAATGTGGTCTTTCAGTCCTGCTGTCCTCATAAGGAGTGATTCTGACTTCTCCACTCTTTCTATGGAGATTTTTCTTTAGTGTAAATCGTGTGGTTTGAGGCAGGTGCTGAAGCGATTTCTTTGGTCCTGGGGATTTACTGTGAAGAGTGGCCTCTCATCTGCCCTGGTTGGAGGGTGGGAGTTCCCAGCTGCTCTGATAGAAGGCAGTGCACACAAGACTGGGTAGAGTCTCTAGACAACTTTAGCTGTGCCACTAGGGACCAAGGGGTAGTGGGAATGAGCAGAATGGGAAGGATTGCATTAATTTTTGTTTATTTTTTGTGAATGCTTACTGAGTGAATAAGCCAGTACAGCTTATTTACTGTGTTTTCCTGTCAGTTATTTTTGGAATCAAGTATTCATTTTTAAATCTCCTGCAGGTATCTGTGGACCAAACAGCCACTCCTATGTTGGACGGCACCAGTTTGGGCATATGCACAGGCCAATCCATGGACAGAGGCAACAGCCAGACCTTTGGGAACTCCCAGAACATAGGAGAACAGGGCTACTCCTCCACAAACTCCAGTGACAGCAGGTGAGATTCAGAGTGGCCAAACTCATGTTCCTGGGGAGTGGGGACAGTCTGATCTCAAAGGCTGCAGAGGCTGAAGTCCAAAGCTCTGGGCCGAGTTCTGACTCTGCCACAAGTCACATGCGACCCTGGGCAAGTTAGTCCTTAACCACATCTGTATGATGGGACTAATGATCTGTTTCCTGCCATCCTCACAGGATAGCTAAGAGGTTCCCACAGAGATGTAGGAAAGTGTCAGGCACCACACAGGAGTACAGGGCTTCCGGAAGGGGGCTCTGTCCAGTCTGTCTTGTTCACTGTGGTGCCTGTGGCACAATGTCTTGCACGTCATAGCATGCTGTCAGTAAGGAAAAGAACAAACAGTGGATGAATCACTAATTGTGGCCAAACATGACTGTTCTTCTTCTATTCCTTAGTATCCGGAGGAAAAGGAAGCTGTGTGTACTTCATTTGCTCGAGCAAGTGCACCAGCTTTTACTACTGTTGTCAATTCTGAGAAACCGTTTTATTTTCTTCCCAGCTGTGTTTGCTTTATAGTAATTATGCCGCAGTCTTTTCTTATTGTCTCACTGTATTGACGAAGCAGTCCTTGGCAAAATCATCTAAGAGACTTAACTTTTATACCCCTGCCCTGAGAGCAGAAAGTTCTCTGGGGCTGCTCACCTGGCTGGCCTCTGTCAGGAGTCACTCCATTTCCCTTATGTCATAAATTCTGTGCTGGTGTAATCTGTGTCTCATCTACTGCAGCCTGTTCATTCTGGCCAGTAGAGGTGATGGTCATTTCAGAAGCAGGAGCAGGTCTGAACTTCTCTGCTCCCTGCCTTCGCTCATGCCCTTATACCCATCAAGCCTACCTGGCTTTTTGGCTGTAGGCGTGGAGGAGATTGGAGAGGCTGCCCAATGCATAGAAAAAATCTGCTTCCTCATTGCTTACAAGGGTAGAACAGTAGGTTTACTTCTGCTTTCAGAAGAAATGAGGAATCGGGGATATTTAGGCTGGAGGTGAAAAGACCAAAAATGACATGGCAGGTAGAATCAGGACCAATGACTGAAAAATACAGAGAACAGATTCTATTTCATGATGAAGAACTTACTAGCAGTGGGTCCTGCTGCACGGAAATGGGCTGCACTTAGAGGTGCCAAGTTCTTTGCCATTGAAGATGTTCACACAGATAGGACAGCCTCTTGCCCAGACACGTGGTCTCAGCAGAGACTCAGGCATTAGAAGGAAGTTCATTTCAAGGGTCTTTGAAAACTTTTTCTAACCCTGAAATTCTGAAACACTTCCAGTGATTTCTGGACCCTCTGAATAGTCATGAAGAGTAGTCTGGGACTGAGGAAAGGGAGAAGTTCAAAGAACTTGAGGAGCTTCTGGATAAGCCCCACAGCTGGCCCAGTTCGGTATAGTGGGTGGCCACTCAGCTGCTGAGTATTAAGCACGTTTTAAGGGACCATCACACCTTTGAGCAAGAATGTGGGCAGCAGGTGGTGGAAAGGACTTTGGAGAGAGACTGACCTGGATTCAGATCCACATCCTGGTACTTCTGGCTCTTTGACCTTCAGCAGTTCCTTTAGTCAGTTTCAAAGGGTCGGTGTTAATTATTTTAGTATTGTTTACCACTTTGGGCTTCCTGTGTGTCAGCCCTGTACATGTGCTCAGCATCGTATAAACATTCGCCTCACATCAGCCCTCAAAGACAGGAACAGCATTAACCCCATTTTTCACATGGGGGCGCTGAGGCCAAGAAAAGCTATGTAGCAGGTTAGTGATGATACTGGGATTCCATTCCCCATGCTCTTAGGGTGTTACCTAGTACTCTGGTCAGGATTCAATGAAGCTACCTGTGAAAGGCTCTTGGGGCAAACCCAGAGCAGTCCAGGGGGTTTCTTGGAAGTGGTTGGGCCTTGGGCCTGAGGAATATTATTAAAAGGAGAGATGCTTACTAAGGGCAAGTTTGGACACAAAAGTACTTTGAATTCTAAATGTGGACATTTTTTATTTTATTTTATTTTATTTTATTTATTTATTTGAGACAGTCTCGCTCTGTTGCCTAGGCTGGAGTGCATGAGTGGCACGACCTCAGCTCACTGCACCCTCCACCTCCCAGTTTCAAGCGATTCTCTTGTCTCAGCCTCCCAAGTAGCTGAGACAACAGGCGCACGTCACCATGCCTGGCTAATTTTTGTATTTTTAGTAGAGACGGGATTTCACTATGTTTGCCAGGCTGGTCTTGACCTCCTGACCTCAAATAATCCACGTGCCTCAGCTTCCCAAAGTGCTGGGATTACAGACGTAAGCCACCAAACCCGGCCCTAAATGTGTATATTTTAAAATAGGAAACCCCCTATGAGATAACCCCCTGATATAGCTGTTTGGAATTTACTAAAATGCCTTTAGTGTCAACATTGTCCTGGTTTCTGGCTCCATAGGAAGTGGAGACTGTTCCTAATATTCGTGCTCTTGACTGCATACGTGCCATCTTGCTTTGCTGACCTGACACCCTGTGTTACAGCTCTCAGCAGCTGGTGGCAAGCTCCTTGACCTCATCCTCTACCCTGACAGAGATCCTGGAAGCCATGAAGCACCCCTCGTAAGTGGCTCACCACAGTGTAGGGTTGGAAGGTTCCCAGAAGCCTGTGCCACAGCCATGTTTAGGCAGCGTGGTTTGGTAGATTTGTACATGACTGTACTTCTCACCAGTTTTGAGAGCTTGGGCAAGTCACTTGACCTCTCTGAGCCTCTGTTTCCTTGTTTGTAAGATGGAATTGTTTTTTGTTTTTTTTTTTTGAGGCAGAGTCTCACTCTGTCACCCAGGCTAGAGTGCGGTGTCGCCATCTTGGCTCACCCAACCTCTGCCTCAAGATGGGATTTTTTTAAAAGGGATTTTTTAAAAAGTAGTTAAGCCACAGGGTTGATGTAAAGATTAAATGAAATAATTATGTGAGGTACCTAGTATGATGCCTGACAAGTATAGGTATTCTCCGAATGTGAGTTCCCATCTTTTCCTTTCTCTCCCCCTTCTCCTTTTTCCCCATAACAACTTCTTCTTTTTTTTTTTTTTTTTTTTTGAGACAGAGTCTCACTCTGTTGCCCAGGCTGGAGGACAGTGGCACGATCTCAGCTCACTGCAACCTCCACCTCCCAGGTTCAAGTGATTCTCCCACCTCAGCTTCCTGACTAGCTGGGATTACAGGCACCCGCCACCACGCCCAGCTGATTTTTGTATTTTTAGTAGAGACGGGGTTTCGCCATGTTGGTCAGGCTGGTCTCAAACTCCTGACCTCAGGTAATCCACCCGCCTCAGCCTCCCAAAGTGCTGGGATTACAGGCGTGAGCGACCACGCTGGGCCCCCGGTAACAGTTTCTTTTGTCCTCTCATGGGTGTTTCTCTGAGTCTAGGAATAGCATAGGGACATTGCTTTATGGTATTAAATGCTCTAGTGGGAGTCCCTTCTTTTTCATCTTTCCTTCCACTTGTTGCCATGGGGCACACACATCCCCTGCTCCCCGTTCACCGTGTTGGAACCCAGGACAGGAGTCCAGCTGCTCTCTGAACAGAAGGGCCTCTCACCGTACTGCTTCATCAGCGCGGAGGTGGTACACTGGTTGGTGAACCACGTGGAGGGGATCCAGACACAGGCGATGGCCATTGACATCATGCAGGTGAGACAGCAAGAGGGGCCCATAGAGCTGTTTGCTTAGGTCCCGAAAAATCAGGGCCTGCCTTAGAAGCCATCACCCTTTCCAGTAATGAGATCTGCAGGTTGGGGTGAGGATTTTTTTTAATAAGTGGGAGGCCTTTCTGGAATTGATGAAAGAACAAGTCTTGCTTTGAAATACACTGTATCTTGACTTAAAAACCGTGCAGAATTTATTGTCTGAACTGAAATGTTTTGGACAGAATCTGTGCATTTATAAACCTCAGAAAAATCTCTATGATTTTTGGGGGAATGCCCTCCCTCTGACCTCAAGCCGCCAGTTTCCCCTGGTCAATGCATGCTTATTCAAGACTCAATGCTGGATTCAAGGCTCTGACCCAGGGGCCTTCTGTCACCTTGTACTTACTCTGTCAGAGCTCTTAGCACAACAGAATGAAGATCTTTCTCTCATTTGTCTCCTGCCTCAACCAGCTCCTTGAGAGCAGGATCACCTCTTATTTTCCATTTCTGTATCACCAGTGCCAGGCATGTTGCTTGGCACCTGGTAGGCACTTAGCACCATGCTTGCTGGATTTAATTACGCTGCTCAGAACTGGAACTCTGGAATATGGCAGAACTGGAATAACAAGGAAATGGGAAACGGCCAGTTGACTGAGCCAGTTCATGCCATCCTGTCTATACGGAGGCCCCAACTGGAAGTCAGTACTGTTTCCTTACCAGCTGAGTTGTCATCATGGAAATGTTAAAATTGATAACTGATTTGAAAAAGCATGTGATTCTCAGTTCTCACTCTGAGGGTCTTGATGTGCTGTTTTGCACAGCCTTTGCCGTATACACTCTCGTCTCCCTGAGAATACGATTTCCTTATTCAAATAATGAAATGCTACTACAGCAGTTTAAATGAATGAGCTGAAGGTACATGTATCAACATGGATAAATGTCAGAAGCATGATGTGGACTGGAAAACCAACTTATAAAATGATATAATATTATGCCCTTTATTTAAAAACTTAGAATCCCGAAAGAATACCTTATATTCTCTATCATACGTGTTTATATAATAAAATTATTTAAGAATAATATTACACTAACCATTTATTTCTGGGGAGAGAGAAAGAGTAATGGGAGTGGGAGAGTCTAAGGAGATTTTTTTTTAATAAGAATATCTGAAATCAGTATAGAGAAGTGTCAAATTTGTGAAAGTAGAATAGTGGCATATGTGGATTTTTTTTTTTTTTTTTTTTTTTTTGAGACAGAGTCTCACTTCGTCGCCTAGGCTGGAGTGCAGTAGTGCTAATCTCAGCTCATTGCAACCTCCACCTCCTAGGTTCAAGTGATTCTCCTGCCTCAGCCTCCCGAGTAGCTGGGATTACAGGCATGCACCACCATACCAGCTAATTTTTGTATTTTTGGTAGAGATGGGATTTCACCATGTTGGCCAGACTGGTCTTGAACTCCTGGCCTCAAGTGATCCACCCCCCTCAGCCTCCCAAAGTGCTGGGGTTACAGGCGTGAGCCACTGCTCCCGGCCATCTGAATTTCTTCATGCCCTTCTGCATGTTTGAAATATTTGATGATGATACGAGTTTACATTTTAAAATATAATTTATATCAAGTACAACATGTCTAATCTGGGGGTGGAGGGTAGGGTCTCCTCAGTGCTCCTGTCACTCCCTTGTCTCCAGAGCATGACTGAGGGCTGCCCCTTCAAGATGCCTCTCTGCAGGAATTTCAGAGTTTCAATGTCTCTCCTAGAAAATGCTGGAAGAGCAGCTCATCACACATGCATCTGGCGAAGCCTGGCGGACCTTCATCTACGGCTTCTATTTCTACAAGATAGTAACGGACAAAGAGCCCGACCGAGGTTAGAGCCGAGGCGAATGCGGTTGCCCACAGGGGCAAGTGTTTTTCCTGGTGACTTGCTCTTTCACATGATGGTGCTTCCTGAGCTGCATGTGTGACTTTGTATTATAAGTTGACAGATCTGTCAACTTCCTTGAGCCTTTGTACTTAATTTAAGCATAGCCAGAGTGACAAGGGTTTCTTAAGCTACAGTGTGTTCTTGGTGAGAACAGTGTGGGTGAAAGATAAAGCTAAAAGAGGCCAAGGGACCTGGTGTGAGGAAATTCCCACACATCAGTTTTTGGTAGCTGTTTTTAATTAGAGTGCCCCACCCCCTTGCCCACCCAGCCCAGGTGGTTCTGATTATATTATCATGGGCTCCAGTCTGTGATTTATAGCACTTTTCACTTGCTAGATCTCCAGTTCAGGCTCCATTTCTAACCCCAGGAAACTATCAAGTCCTAGCAAGTTTTCCAAGTAATATTTTAAGTATCTGTGGGGTTTTTTTTCTTTTGTTTGGTTTTTTTAAATAATGAGGAAAAAGTAATTCCCCAGAGGGAAAACTTTTTTAGCGTGGTCAGAGCTGACTCACATAACTGGAGGCACCCCAGATTCAGACCAGCATCTTGCCGGGCATGCTGGCTCATACCTGTAATCCCAGCACTTTGGGAGGCCGAGGCTGGCAGATCACTTGACGTCAAGAGCTCAAGACCAACATTGGGAAACCCTGTCTCTACTAAAAATACAAAATTAGCCGGGTGTGGTGGTGCATGCATGTAATCCCAGCTACTTGGGAGGCTGAGGCAGGAGAATCGCTTGAATCCGGGAGGCGGAGGTTGTAGTGAGCCGAGATTGTGCTGCTGTACTGCAGCCTGGTTGACAGTGAAACTCCGTCTCAAAAACAACAGCCGGCTGGGCACTGCGGCTCACGCCTATAATCCTAGCACTTTGGGAGGCCGAAGCAGGTGGATTGCCTGAGCTCAGGAGTTCGAGACCAGCCTGGGCAACACGATGAAACCCCACCTCTACTAAAATACAAAAAAATTAGCCGGGTGTGGCGGCAGGCACCTGTAATCCCAGCTACTCGGGAGGCTGAGACAGGAGAATCGCTTGAACCCAGGAGGCAGAGGTTGCAGTAAGCCAAGATCACACCACTGTACTCTAGCCTGGGCTACAGAGTGAGACTCCATCTCAAAAAAAAAAAAAAAAAAAAAAAAAAAAAAACAGGCCGGGCACAGTGGCTCACGCTTGTAATCCCAACACTTTGGGAGGCCAAGGCCGGCAGATCACAAGGTCAGGAGTTGGAGACTAGCCTGGCCAACACAGTGAAACCCCATCTCTACCAAAAATACAAAAAATAGCTGGGCATGGTGGTGGCCGCCTGTAATCCCAGCTACTCGGGAGGCTGAGGCAGGAGAATTGCTTGAACCCGGGAGATGGAGGTTGCAGTAAGATGAGATCACGCCACTGCACTTCCAGTCTGGCGACAGAGCGAGACTCCATCTCAAAAAAAAAAAAAAAAAAAAAAAAACAGCAAAAACAGAAAACCAGACCAGCATCTCCAGTACACCTATAGCAAAAGGGGACCTTGCCTGTTCTGGAAGTGACTCCTATCCTGCAGACAAATGGCTTCTCTGCCTCTGGGTTTAAAGAATCAAACATGGCCGGGAGCGGTGGCTCACGCCTGTAATCTCAGCACTTTGGGAGGCCGAGGTGGGTGGATCATGAGGTCAAGAGATCGAGACCATCCTGGTCAACATGGTGAAACCCCATCTCTACTAAAAAATACAAAAATTAGCTGGGCGTGGTGGCGCACGCCTGTAGACCCAGCTACTTGGGAGGCTGAGGCAGGAGAATCACTTGAACCTGGGATGTGGAGGTTGCAGTGAGCCAAGATCATGCCACTGCACTCCAGCTTCGTGACAGAGCGAGACTCCATCTCAAAAAAAAAAAAAAGAATCTTACATGAGATGAAGCAGCTAGTGCCACTCCCCATGCTCTCTTGTCCAAGAATATGGCAGAAGTGGACGTGTGTGGGATTTTTTTGTATATCCATTGACACTTTTCCCTTTAAATTATACATTTGACCAGTAGATACCTATCTTACCTTCAAGTTGAAAACATACCAGGTTACTGTTATATATTCTGAAATTTGAGGTATGAAACTGATCATAAGGTCAAGTGTGGTGCTGACTCGTGCCTATAATCCCAGCGCCTTGGAAGGCTGAGGTATGAGGATCTCTTGAGGCCAGGAGTTTAAGATCAGCCTGGGCAAGAAACATAGCGAAACCCCATCTCTACAGGAAAAAAAAAAAAAAAATTGGCTGGGTGTGGTTGTACATGCTGGTCTTCACAGCTACTCAAGAAGCTGAAATGGGAGGATTGCTTGAGCCCAGGAGGTTGAGGCTATAGTGAGCCATGGTTGTACCACTGCACTGAAGACTTGGCAAAGCTGTGCAGACCCTGTCTCTAAGAGAAAAAAAGAAATAAACTGAGCATAAAATATTTTTTAGGGCCGGGTACGGTGACACACGCCTGTAATCCCAGCACTTTGGGAGGCCAAGGCAGGTGGATCACCTGAAGTCAGGAGTTTGAGACCAGCCTGGCCAACATGGTGAAATCCCGTCTACTAAAAATACAAAAATTAGCCGGGCGTGGTGGCGCATGTTGCTACTCAAGAGGCTGAGGTAGGAGAATCACTTGAACCTGGGAGGCAGAGGTTGCAGTAAGCTGAGATCGTGCCATCGCACCACTCCAGCCTGGGCGACAGAGCGAGACTCCGTCTCAAAAAAAAAAAAAAATATATATATATATATATATATATACACACACACACACGTATATATATATACACATATATATACATATATATACACATATATATATACATATATATTTTTAATTGAAGTGAAATTCACATGATATAAAATTAACCATTTAAAAATGAACAGCTCAGTGCATTTAGTACATCCACAGTGTTGTACAACTATCATGTCCATCTAGTTCCTGACCATTTTCATCACCCTGAAATGAAACCCCATCCCCTTGAGGAGTCACCTTCCAACTCCTCCTCCCACCCCCAGCAACCAATAATCTGCTTTCTTTCTCAAAGATTTGCCTATTTGCTACGTTTCACATAAATGGAACTATACAGTATGTGGCCTTGTGTGTCGGCTTCTTTTACTTAGCGTGTTTTTAAGGTTTATCAAGTTGTAGCATGCATCATGAAGAAAATAAGCATTTGTGTTGAGTACTCCTTCTCTCCCCTCCACTTTTCCCAGTGGCCATGCAGCAGCCCGCCACCACCTGGCACACAGCAGGAGTGGACGACTTCGCCAGCTTCCAGCGCAAGTGGTTTGAGGTGGCCTTTGTGGCAGAAGAGCTCGTGCACTCTGAGATTCCTGCCTTTCTCCTGCCCTGGCTGCCTAGCCGGCCAGCCTCCTATGCAAGTAGGCACAGCTCCTTTAGCCGAAGTTTTGGAGGACGGAGCCAGGCGGCAGCACTTTTAGGTACATGCTCAACCCAGACAAGGTCTGAGGGTGTGCCAGTGGGTGGCTGCGGGAAAGTAGTGGCCAGCCAAGGGAACGATGCCACATGAACCAGGATTAGAGTCGCTGAGGCCGTCACACAGGCCACTGTGTCTGTCGGCACTGTTGGCTCCGTTGCTGACTTCCACTTGCCGAGTGGTTTTATGACTGTCCCAACCAACAGACGGTATTTAGCACCTCTCAAATCAGAACATAGTGCCAGACCTGTTCGGATAGGAGAGAAGAAATATGTGGCCAATTTTCCCGAGGGTTCTGTAGGATATAGGAGATGTGAGATAGTGCTCATTGCACCAGCTAGTTCCTGCCGGAGCCCCTCCCTACAACCATAGCATCCTATGATCTCAGAAGAGGAAGGAACCTAAAAGGTCATCCATTCCAGACACTCATGCAGAGCAAAAGTCTCTCTCTCTCTCTCCTCTTCCTTTCCTCCCCAAATGTGCTTACCATATTGAAGGATGTAAACTGAAACACTTCCCTCCTTTCCACCATTCCTGCAGCTCTAAGATGGGGGTAAACAGCTGCTTATTGAAAGGCAATGACCTCTGATAGGAAATGGGGAACTCTGAGCTAGAGGACCTGACTGATGGGTTGAAATGTGAACATCTTTAGAAAATACCTGCTCTGGGCAAAGACCATGGGATTTATCTTAAGGGCAAGTTGGAGGATCCTGAAAGCCCTCTGAAAGGAAGAAAGCAAATAGAACATAAACCAAACTCCAGGGAAATTCCATGTTCTGCTTTGTTTGCCTGTAATCGCCCAGCTAATTGGAATCCTTTACTAGCTGGTAAAACGGAGATGTTAATCGTCATCAAAGTTTCTAGATCCAGGCCGGGCACGGTGGCCCACGCCTGTAATCCCAGCACTTTGGGAGGCTGAGGTGGGTGGATCACTTGAGGTCAGGAGTTCAAGACCAGCCTGACCAACATAGTGAAACCCTCTCTATATTAAAAATACAAAATTAGATGGCTCATGCCTGTAATCCCAGCACTTTGGGAGGCCGAGGCAGGCAGATCACAAGGTCGGGAGATCGAGACCATCCTGGCTAACACTGTGAAACCCCATCTCTACTAAAAATACAAAAAATTAGCCAGGCGTGACAGTGTGCACCAGGTACTCGGGAGGCTGAGGCAGGAGAATGGCATGAACCTGGGCGGCGGAGCCTGCAGTGAGCCGAGATCGCGCCACTGTACTCCAGCCTGGGTGACAGAATAAGACTCCGTCTCAAAAAAAAAAAAAAGGGCCAAACGCTGTGGCTCATGCCTGTAGCCCAGCACTTTGGGAGGCTGAGGTGGGTGGATCACCTGAGGTCAAGAGTTTGATACCAGCCTGGGCAACATGATGAAATTCTGTCTCTACCAAAATCAGTCAGGTGTGGTGGCAGACGCCTGTAATCCCAGCTACTCCGGAGGCCGAGGCAGGAGAATTGCTTGAACCTGGGAGGTGGAGGTTGCAGTGAGCTGAGATCGCCCCATTGTACTCTAGAGCGAGACTCCATCTCTCAAAAAAAAAAAAAAAAAGTTTTCAGATCCTCAGATTCACTTGGATCTGGGTGTGGCTCACTCCAGCATTGCCTGTTGCTGTGTGTGAGAAGTGAAGGGGTGGGGAGGATAGGGTAGAACCTTGAGCAGCTCCTCCTCCTTTCCCTTAGGCAGTCATGACTTGCTCTTCTCCCTTCATTGCATTTCTAACTGTCTACTTCCTTGACGTTTTTTTGGGATTAAAGAAGCCGTATACCCGTTACCCTGGGGTGCTCACTTCCAGCAACCTAAACCACCTAGAGCACTACCAGGGCTTGAGACCTAAGGCCTTTGAATAGCAAGCAGCAACCTTGTGATTTTATGTCATGGGAGGACCTATTAGAAATAGCAAATAAGGCCAGGCATGTGGCTCATGCATGTAATCCCAGCACTTTGGGAGGCTGAGGCAGGAGGATCACTTGAGGTCAGGAGTTTGAGACCAGCCTGGCCAACATGATGAAACCCCATCTCTACTAAAAATACAAAAATTACCTGGGTGTGGTGGCGGGTACCTGCAATCCCAGCTACTCAGGAGGCTGAGGCAGGAGAATCGCTTGAATCTGAGAGGCAGAGGTTGCGGTGAGCCTAGATGGCACCACTGCACTCCAGCCTGGGCGACTCCATCTCAAAAGTGATGGAGTGAGACTCCATCTGAAAAAAAAAAAAAAAAGAATAGCAAAGAAAAGGGCAGGTACCTACCCTGATGTCAGTGGGAAGCAGAAGCCAATAGTCCAGCAACAAAGGTGGAGTGGGGAAAACCTGTTACAAATATAACAAACACAAGAACTTGATAAGTACAGTGTTAATCATTCACTTATAGCACTAGGCTGCATACGAGAAGCTTCTCAAGAAGCAACTTTACACCATTTTTCTCATGAAATCAAGTTTATTTTTAGTAGCCAAGTTTTAAAGTCTACTTTTTCCTCATAGATAAAAATTAAGAATTTTCATCTCTGCGGAACAAGGAACTAAGCCTGAAAGCTAGCTAGGTGCTTTCAGATACGCACCAAAGAGAGAGCTGAAAAGTCAACTTCCCACTCCCCTCGGGGTTACTTTCTGAGAAAAAGACACAATGCATTACAATAAGTAAATATTGGATCATGCATGGCGACAATTTATGTGAGAGCTGAAGAAAGCAAAAAGATTTCTTCCTTTCAAATAAATTTCAAATATTCAAATAAATGCCACGAATCCAAGTGACACCTCCTTGTAGTAAGAGGCGCTCGAACCAGCACATAGAGCATATTTACTCCACTGATTTCTTGGAAGTGTGTTTACAGATCTCTTGGTAAGACCCCAGATTAGAAGCAGAAAATTGGAGGCAGCTAATGGCAGCAAGTGTATAACACATTTTAGCAAAATGTTTTGCAAAATAAATCTGTTAAATTTTGATCTTTTAAGGTGGGAAGTAACTATCATTTGTTCATTCTTTCTCTTTTTTTTTATTTTCTTGTTCCTTCTCTTCTTTCTCCTCTTCTCTTCTCTTCTTTTTAAAAATAGAGACAGGGTCTCCCTATGTTGCCCAGGCTGTTCTCAAACTCCTGGGTGCAAGGAATCTTCCTGCCTCAGCCTCCCAAAGTGCTAGGATTACAGGTGGGAGCCATTACGCCCGGCCTGTTCTTCCTTTTCTTGAAAGTGTTCAACGAAAGGAATTATTCTAATGTGAATCTTCTCCAGTAGATCATACAAAACCCAAGAGCAGGGTTTCTCAACTTCAGCACTACTGACATTTTGGGCCAGATCATTCTTTCTTGTGGGGAAGTGTTCTGTGCACTGGAGGATGTTGAGCAGCATCCTGCCCTCTACCCAGTAGCACTACCAGCCCCACCCAGTGTGATAAAATGTCTCCTGACATTGCCAAATGTCCCCTGGGGTTGGTAAAATTACCCCCAGCTGAGAACCGCTGTCCTAGGGGGAACTGAAGGATTCCAATCAGGAGCCAAGATTAGAGCAAAACCTGAGAGGCTTTGAAGCCCATCAGTAACTTCCCTAAGCAGGTGTCAAGTTGATGCGTGATAAGGGCGTGCTTTCAGAACTTTGGGGTAGGATGAATGGTCAGAGCTGGAGCTGAGATGTTAGAGGGAAGCACTGTCCTCCACTCTGCTCTGCTCTGCTCTGGCCCCTGGGCTCCTCTTGTGCTTTCTTTCACTGGTGCCAGTGGTGGTTGCTTCAGTCTTGCCTGCTGTGGTGCGATGGTAATAACATTAATGCCATGATTTGTAGAAAATTGATGTGTCAGGTCCTGTACAGAGCAGAAAATCTTCATTAATCTTTACGTCAGTCTCCTGATGGGTACTACAATTTATGCTTTAGAGTTTAGGAAACTGTGAGGCTCAGAGAGGCGAAGTAATTTGCCCAAGGCTCTGCAGCCACTAAGTGCTAGAGCTGGAGTTTATTCTCAGGACTGCCTGGCCCTGAAGCCTGAACTCCAAGCACACTGCATTTCGGCCCAAGGAGACAAAAGTCAAAGCCTGTCAGGATTTTGGATGATTTGCACAATAGCCCAGTTCCAGGAGTGGCTTCTGCCCTGTGATGAGGGACACTCAGGTCCCAGGCCCTTGCTACAGAACCACAACTCTCTGGGTGTGTCCTTTCTTCCCCTCTATGCCATCCCTGCTGGTCTTCCCAATGCACTCCCTCCAGTCCTGGCTTCAACAGTTCTTTGACCCCCACCAGGACCTGTAACCAATTGATCTTGCTATCATTCTCCCTCTCCCACCTCACATCTCACTTTATGTAATCATAGCTTTGAGCTGCCAAACCTCATTACACAGCTTTGAGCCCCGCTCCCCACCCTCATCATCAGCATCTTGTGTCACTGTGAAAACTGAAGCGGTCAGAAGAAAACTCCCACCTGCCATCTGCCCTCGCCCAGTAGCTGTGTCTGTCCCCACTCTTCTGCCTCCCCCTGATGCAGCATCTCCACCTGCACACAAGACCCCAGCCCTCGCAGTACTCAGTGTAGCACTTTGGCAGTCATCCCCCTCCCTGAATTCTCCCTCTCTGCTAAAGCATCCCTGTCGATCTGTGACAGGCACACACTCTCTCCTGCTGGCAAAGCAAAACTCAAATCGGGTTTCTGTCTATTCCCTCCGCTGGAACAGCCTTCCCAATGCAGGGAGCCCATGTTGTTTAGCCTGGCGGCCAGTCCTCAGTCCTGGTCCTCCTTGCCCTGCAACAGCATTTGTCAAATGATCTCTGACTCCTCCTTTAAACCCTTACCTTGCTTGGCTCTCCTTCTTCATTTTAAAATCAGTTTCCTTTGCTGGTTTCTCTTCAGCAACCTAATCTTTTAATATTATAGCATTCGGGTCTCAGCCTGCCCTCATCTCCATACCCTAAAGTGTCTCATCAGTCCAGTGGCCTTTATTACCCCAAGATCTGGTCACTGCCAAATTTCTATCTCCATCCTAGACCATGTCTCCAATTTGAGACTCATCCCTCCAGCTACCTACTTGACATGGTCACTTAGAGGACTGGATGTACAGTGTTCAGAACCAGCTAGCCCTGCTGTTTCCCCGCAACACCTTCGTCTTGCCTTCTCATTCTAGTCACTTAGGTAGAAAAATTCAGTTGCCTTCTCATGTCTTTCTTTCCTGCTCTACATCCAGCCCATCAG
The DNA here is from genome assembly GCF_000001405.40 of Homo sapiens. Classification (NCBI taxonomy): domain Eukaryota; kingdom Metazoa; phylum Chordata; class Mammalia; order Primates; family Hominidae; genus Homo; species Homo sapiens. The sequence goes on from NC_000022.11 coordinate 31,884,928, forward strand.
CAAATTCAGTTTACCTTTTAGTTACCTTCAATATTGATTCAGGATTAACTATTCCTTACTCTGTCTCCTCTATGATCGTGGTTCGAGCCACCTTCATCTTCTGTCTGCATTGCTGCTGTCACCTCTGCACTGGCCTCCTGGCTTCCTCCCCTGCTCCTTATAAACTGCTTTGCACACAGGATCCAGAGAGACCTCTTCAAATGGAAGTCAGGTCATGTTCCCCTTCTGGGCAGGATCCTCTTGTAGCTCCCAGCTCACTCGAAACCAAAGCTAGAGTTTTCAGCAGCCTACAGGACCCCAGGATGTGGTCCCCTCATTCTCTGCCTTGTCCCCTGTCCGCCTCCTATGTACTCTGCTGCACCACGCTGGCTTCCATCTGTGTCTGGTGTCCGTGAACACGCCGTGCACATCTCTGCTTCCAGTGCTTTCCTTCCGCCTGGGGCACTGTTCCCCAAAGATACCCTCGGGTCTCCCTCCCTCACTTGCTTCAAGTCTCTTGTCCAAAAATCATGTGTGGGCTGGGCGCGGTGGCTCACGCCTGTAATCCCAGCACTTTGGGAGGCCGAGGCGGGTGGATCACAAGGTCAGGAGATTGAGGCCATCCTGGCTAACACAGTGAAACCCCATCTCTACTAAAAATACAAAAAATTAGCCAGGCATGGTGGCGGGCACCTGTAGTCCCAGCTACTCGGGAGGTTGAAGCAGGAGAATGGCGTGAACCTGGGAGGCAGAGCTTGCAGTGAGCCGAGATCATGCCGCTGCACTCCAGCCTGGGCAACAGAGCGAGACTCCATCTCAAAAAAAAAAAAAAAAAAGAGACAGGGTTGGCCAGGCACAGTGGCTCACGCCTGTAATCCCAACACTTTGGGAGGCCAAGGCGGGTGGATCACGAGGTCAGGAATTTGAGACCAGCCTGACCAACATGGTGAAACCCCGTCTCTACTAAAAATGCAAAAATTAGCTGGGTGTGGTGGCGGGCACATGTAACCCCAGCTACTCAGGAGGCTGAGGCAGGAGAATCTCTTGAATCGAGAGGCGGAGGTTGCATTGAGCCAAGATCACTCCATTGCACTCCACCCTGGGTGACAGAGCGAGACTCCCTCTCAAAAAAAAAAAAAAAAGACAAGGTCTTACTCTGTTTCCCAGGCTCACTACTTACTCCTAGCTCACTACAACCTCAAACTCCTGGGCTCAAGCAGTCTTTCCACCTGAGCCTCCCAAGTAGCTGGGACTGCAGGTGCACACCATCATGCCCGGCTAGTTTTTTTGTTGGTTTTGTAGAGACAATCTCTCTCTGTGTTGCCCAGGCTGGTCATGAACTCCTCGGCTCAAGCAATCCTCCCAGTTGGCCTTCAAAAGTGCTGGGACTAAGGCATGAGCTGATTCCCTCTCTTGACAGTTTCTATAGGAATATCCTCGTTTCCAAAGCCTTCTTCTAATGCAGGCTGGTAAAACCCTCTCTTGACTTCTGGTCTTCAGCTCAAGATGAAATTCAGATCATCTCAGTTTAGCTTTGATAATTCTTAGTGCTTAAAGAAAAGCAGTGTATAGGCCAGGCATGGTGGCTCACGGCTGTAATCCCAACACTTTGGAAGGCCGAAGCAGGCAGATCACTTGAGGTCAGGAGTTTGAGACTAGCCTGGCCAACATGGTGAAACCCTGTCTCTACTAAATATACAAAAATTAGCGAGGTGTGGTGGCATGCACCTGTAATCCCAGCTACTCGTGAGGCTGAGGTGTGAGAATTGCTTGAACCTGGGAAACGGAGGTTGCAGTGAGCCAAGATTGCACCACTGCACTCCCGCCTGAAAAAATACGTCTCCATCTCAAAAAAAAAAAAAAAAAAAAAGAGAGAGAGAGAGGCCAGGCATGGTGGTTCACGCCTGTAATCCCAGCACTTTGGGAGGCCAAGGTGGGCGGATCACAAGGTCAGGAGTTTGAGACCAGCCTGGCCAACATGGTGAAACCCTATCTCTACTGAAGATCTCTACTAAAGATACAAAAAATTAGCATGGCGTGGTGGCGTGTGCCTGTAATCCCAGCTACTCGGGAGGCTGAAGCAGGAGAATTGCTTGAACCCGGGAGGTGGAGGTTGCGGTGAGCTGAGATCGTGCCATTACGCTCCAGCCTGGACGACAGGGCGAGATTCCATCTCGAAAAAAAAAAAAAGAGAGAGAGAGAGAAGCAGTATATAGAAAAGTAAGTCATAGGCCGGGCATGTTGGCTCACGCCTGTAATCCCAGCACTTTGAGAGGCCGAGGTGGGTGGATCACCTAAGGTCAGGATTTCGAGACCAGCCTGGCCAACACGATGAATCCCTGTCTCTACTAAAAATACAAAAAATTAGCTGGGTGTGGTGGTGGGCACCTGTAATTCCAGCTGCTCGGGAGCTGAAGCAGGAGAATTGCTTGAACCCAGGAGGCAGAGGTTACAGTGTGCCGAGATTGCGCCATTGCACTCCAGTCTGGGCAACAAAAGCGAAACTCTGTCTCAAAAAAAAAAAAAAAAAAAAGAGAAAAGTCATATGTCCAAAAAATAGGGAGATTTGGGAAGAAGAGAGGGTTTATGTCCATAGCAGGTAGTTTATTAAACAAGTGTTCTCCTGGGGTCTCTGTGTGGGCCTTAGGGGGTCAGTGAGTCTGAAACTAGGCAGAGTTTTGTGTGTGCCCATGTTTCCTGGGAAAACATCCTTTTGTTAGTTTTCCTGTGGTTTCCATAGTTGTTACAAGGAATTTCATTCCATCAGCCTCTTGCCCATCCGTCTTCCCAAAAGAAATGGGTTTCTTTTCCTTTTAAACCTGATATGGCCATATACAGCTAATTCTATCCAATAACAGCTCTCAGCCCTTTGTGTTAGGATATGAGAGGTTTCTTCCCAGCATTTTTTCAGGTTAGAATGTAGTCTTTTACTGTGTCATTTACTCAAGTGGGGAAGATCTGTTTTCTTTAAATTGAGCTGTATTCATTGTTTGGGTTTTTCTTCAGAAAAAAAATAACATGATTTATAGGGGGAAGAAGGCCTGTGTATCATTTGTGACTTGTCCCTTTTTTTGTTTTTTGTTTCAACATGTTCCTTTTTAAACACTTAGGATACTCAGTTGGAAGTTAGCATTGGAAGTCTGTTTTGAAATGCCTGACATTGACACATGACCTTCTCTGGCTTGGCTCATGGGGGCTCCCACTTTCTCATTGCAGTCACCCTGGGCTGCTCACCTGGGAAGCAGCAGGAGCATCTGAGACTCTAGAAGCAGCAGCCCTGCAGCTCTTAGGCCCACTCACATGCCTTTCCTTCTCAGCCTTGTTTTGTCTGTGGTTTTTTTTTTTTTTTTTTTTTTTTTTGGAGACGGAGTCTTGCTTTGTCGCCCAGGCTGGAGTGCAGTGGCGTGATCTCAGCTCACTGCAACCTCCGCCTCCCGGTTTCAAGCAAGTCCCCTGCCTCAGCCTCCCGAGTAGCTGGGATTACAGGCGTGCACCACCACACCTGGCTAATGTTTTTCTATTTTTAATAGAGATGTGGTTTCACCATGTTGGTCAGGCTGGTCTCAAACTCATGACCTCAGGTGATCCACCTGCCTTGGCCTCCCAAAGTGCTGGGATTACAGTAGTGAACCACCACACCCGGCTCTTTGTTTGTGTTTTTGACACAGAGTCTTGCTCTGTTGCCCAGGCTGGAGTGCTGTGGCATGATCCTAGCTTGCTGCAGCGTCAACCTTCTGGTTTCAAGTGACCTTCCTGCCTCAGCCTCCCAAGTGGCTGGGAACACGGGCATGTGCCAGCATGCCTGGTTAATTTTTTGATATTTTGTGGAGACAGGGTCTTTGTTGCCCAGGCTGGTCTTGAACTCCTGGGCTCAAGCAATCCTCCCACCTCGGCCTCCCAAAGTGCTAAGATTACAGGCGTGAGCCACTGCGCTCGGCCCCAGCCTTTTCTTGACGGCCCACTGGATTTTGGGATCAGAAGGGAATTTAGAGCACCTCTGTCCAAACCCTGACACTTGAATATTTTCTGCAGCACTCCTGATAAGTGGGGAGCAAGCTTCTCTTTGAAAAACCCCCTCAACATGGCACTCACTCCCAAGACTGCTTGTTCTGTACCTGGGCACCTCTGATTGTTACGTAGAGTATCACTCCCCTACCTGGGGTTGCATTTTTCTCCTCTGCTGACACTGTCCCCTTCCCCAGGTTACTGATAACCCCCTAGCTATGACCTGGGTGAAGGATGCTCAGCCTATTCCTCCTCTGGGCTTGCATGTATTTATTGGTCTTGTGTGAATAAGTTGGTTCTCATGGAACTCACGTAATGATTCTATGAACTTACTGAAAGCTGAACTCAGCTGGTCTCATATCTTTATCAACATCATAATCCGCTAGAAACATATGTACTGCCAAATCTATCCCCAAAGTACAGGGCCAGTAGTATCTTCAGCCTGTAACCACTTGGTTGAACAGCGTACTTCCTGGCCCAGGCCAGCATGTTCTGAACTTAACATGCCAGATGGGAGAGAAGAGATGCATGAGGCCACTGCTGGTATTTATTGAATATCCTCGTCTTTGTGACACAGACTTTTCACTTGGGAAGAAACACACAGTGTCCAAGACCAGAGGGCAAAACTTCTTTTTTTTTTTTTTTTTTTTTTTTTCCAGACAGAGTCTCGCTCTGTTGCCTATGCTGGAGTGCAGAGGCGCTCACTGCAAGCTCCGCCTCCCAGGTTCACGCCATTCTCCTGCCTCAGCCTCCCAAGTAGCTGGGACTACAGGCACCCGCCACCATGCCCGGCTAATTTTTGTATTTTTAGTAGAGACGGGTTTCACCTTGTTAGCCAGGATGGTCTCGATCTCCTGACCTCGTGATCCACCCGCCTCGGCCTCCCAAAGTGTTGGGATTACAGGTGTGAGCCACTGTTTTGATTTTGGCTAAGTAAAGGGTTATTCTGGCAGTATCAGGAATCCATAACATGAAGCAGAGACAGAATGTAGTTTTGATGAGCCTTTTAGCATTGGAGTGACCAAGTTCTTTAGCCTTAAATGTCACAGACAGCCAACCAGTGTCCATGGGCGGCACAGACAGGCCTCAGATTGAACATTGGCAAACTAATGGCCTAAATTGGGAGAAGAGACCAGCAGGAACAGAAGGAAAAGAGGAGAGTTACAAGTTAGGTGGCTGGGTAAGGCAAGAGAGGAGGTCCACACTCCTTTCTCATCCATGCTTCACCTGATTCTCATCCTGTCTCTATGAACCATCTGGGCTGGCACATCTCAGTTTGTAGTTCAGGAACTAAATCAGGAGAGGTGAAACAATGCTCTCTGAGACATATGGTTACTAAATGGCAGAGCTTAGATCTTCCAACTTCAAATCAATAAGTTTTCCCATTTGCATGTTCTAGGTTTTTGTTTGTTTTTCCATTCATGAGATATTTATTAAAATAACACATTTGGGGGAAAAAATCAATACAACATAGACATCACTACTGAAAACCATATATCATCATACAAAAAGGGATTTTGGCCAGGCATGGTGGCTCATTATTATCCCAGCACCTTCGGGGGCCGAGGTGGGCAGGTCAATTAAGGCTAGGAGTTCGAGATAAGCCTGGCCAACATAGGGAAACCCCAACTCTATTAAAATACAAAAATTAGCTGGGCGTGGTGATGTGCACCTGTAGGCCCAGCTACCTGGGAGGCTGAGACACAAGAATCTCCTGAACCTGGGAGGCCCAGGTTGCAGTGAGCCGAGATCACGCCACTGCACTCCAGCCTGGGCAACAAAGTGAGATTCTGTCTCAAAAAAAAGATTTTTAAAATTTTTATTTTATTTTGAGATGGAGTTTCACTCTTGTTGCCCAGGCTAGAGTGCAATGGTGCGATCTCGGCTCACTGCAACCTTTGCCTCCCAGGTTCAAGCAATTCTCCTGCCTCAGCCTCCCGAGTAGCTGGGATTACAGGCATGCATCACCACGCCCGGCTAATTTTTTGTATTTTTATTAGAGACGGGGTTTCTCCATGTTGGTCTTGAACTCCTGACCTCAGGTGATCCGCCTGCCTTGGCCTCCCAAAGTGCTGGGATTACAGGCGTGAGCCACCATGCCCGGCTAAAAAATGAATTTTATTTTGGGAATGGTTTTCTAATTTATGGCAGATATTACTTTCAAAAATAATACCACAGAACAACACAATCTAGGTCAATCTTAAAGACTGACAGGCTGAGCAAGGAATGTTTTTATTTTTTTGTAGGAGCTCCTTCTTTAAACTGTCAAGTACTAGGGCTCTGCCTTTTGGAGTGATTTCAGCCACCAAGTCATCGACAATAACGTGTTCTAGTCCTTTCTCTTTAATTACCTCTTAATGCAAAAGCAAAAAACATATCACTTAAAATCATTATCTTTACATTATCTTTATCAACTCATCCTTTCAGCCACATTCAATTAATTTAGCTCAGCAGCTCTTTCAGGCGTTCTC